>NW_019805496.1:0-279644 GCF_000001405.40 Homo sapiens | reverse complement strand
ACAGTTACCCTGAGATCTAAAGGACACGAGGTTAGCCAGGCATGGGGAGTGGACAGAGAGGAGTCCAGCAAGTAGGATCACCATATGCAAAGGTCATGAAGTGGAAAGAATGTGGCGGGTTTGGAACTGACCAAAGATCTGTGTGGCTTAAGTGCAGTGGGTAAAACAGAAAGTGATGTGAGATACTGAGGCTGGAGAGGTAGGCAGGACTCGGACCATGAGGGACCCTTAGGCCATTTTTAAGGATTTTTGGATTTTATCCTAAGTACATTGAGTAATAATTGAAAGATTTTTAAAGAGTTACTAACATCAAAATTGCATTTTTGGATGGGAACAGTTAACACTAGGGATTCCAAAAGGAGGGAGGGAGGGGAGCAAAGGTTGGAAAACCTATCGGATACTGTGTTCACAACTTGGGCGGCAGGATCATCAGAAGCCCAAACCTCATGTATATAGGAATATACACACAATATACTCATGTAACAAACCTGCACATGTACCCCTGAATCTAAATTTTTTTAAATGTATTTTTAGAAGATCTCAGTCTACTTTGTGGAAAGTGGATTTGGATTAGATGGGTATAATACAAAAAAAATTTTGCTTTTATCATGGCCCAAGTAAGGGTTGCTGGTGGCTCAATTGTGGGAATGACTAGAAATAGAAAAGTAGATGGATTCAAGATACCTTTGGAAGATAGATTCACTAGGGCTTGGTGGTGGATTGAATATGGGGTAAGGGATGGTAAAAGAAGAGAGAACAAGGACAGCTCCCTGGTGTCTCATGTGACTAACCAGATGTGAGTGGGGAGGGGTTGCCATTTACAGAGATACCCGGAAGATGGATTTTGGATAGATATGAATAATTCTATTGGACATAGTAAATTTGAAGTACCTGGGGAGCAGCCCTTTGGAAATGTCAAGTAGGCATTGAAGTTTACAGGTCTAAGGCTCAAAAGAGTGACTTTATGTTAGAGATACAAATTTCATTTAATTAAATATTTTGGCTGGGCACAGTGGCTCACACCTGTAATCCCAGCACTTTGGGGGGCTGAGGTGGGAGGATCTCTTGAGGCCGGGAGTTCAAGACCCCATTTCTACAAAAAAAATTTTTTTTTCTTTCTGCTTTTTTTTTTTTTTCTTTTTGAGAGACAGTCTGGCTCCATTGTCCAGGCTGGAGTGCATTGGTGCAATTATGGCTTACTGCAGTCTCCGCCTCCTGGGTTCAAGTGACCCTCCCACCTCAGCCTCCCAAGTAGCTGGAATTACAAGTATGCACCACCATGCCCAGCTAATTTTTCTATTTGTTTTTGTAGAGATGGGGTTTTGCCTTGTTGTCCAGACTGGTCTTGAACTGCCAGACTCAAGCAGTGCCCCGTTCTCGGCCTCCCAACTTGCTAGGATTACAGGCGTAAGCCACCGTGTCCAGCCTGATTTTTTAAAATAAGCCAGGCGGAGTAGCGTGTGCCTTTCATCTTAACTACTCAGGAGGCTGAGGTGGGAGGATCCGATCATGCCACTGCACTCCAGGTGGGAAAAAGGGTAAGACCCCATCTCTTTTAAGAAAACAGGAAGAAAGAAAGAAAATTTGCTTGCCTAATGTATTTCAGTCCGTTTTTAGGGAACAGGGATATAGCAGGGAACAAAACAAAGTCCCTACTCTTATGGAGGAAGATAGGCAACAACAACAATAACCAAAAAACCCCAAGTACATGCAGTTTTGTTACAGGAAAAGGGTGCCGATCCAGACCCCAAGGGAGGGTTCTTGGATCTCGCACAAGAAAGAATTCAGGGCAAGTCCGCAGTGCATAGTGAAAGCAAGTTTATTAAGAAAGTAAAGGAAGCCAGGCATGGTGGCTCACACCTGTAATCCCAGTACTTTAGGAGGCCGAGGCAGGTGGATCACCTGAGGTCAGGAGTTCGAGACCAGCCTGACCAACATGGTGAAACCGTGTCTCTACTAAAAATACAAAATTAGCTGGGCATGATGGCACATGCCTATAATCCCAGCTACTTGGGAGGCTGAGGCAGGAGAATAGCTTGAACCCAGGAGGTGGAGGGTGCAGTGAGCTGAGATCACACCATTGCACTCCAGCCTGGGCAACAAGAGCAAAACTGCATCTCAAAAAAAAATGTAAATAAAAGAATGGCTACTCCATAGACAGAGTAGCTCCGAGGGCTGCTGGTTGCCCATTTTTATGGTTATTTCTTGATGATATGCTAAACAGGGGTGGATTATTCATGCCCCCACTTTTTAGACTCCTGATGTAACTTCCTGATGTTGCCATGGCATTTGTAAACTGTCATGGCGTTGATGGGAGTGTAGCAGTGAGGACAACTGGAGGTCACCCTTGTCGCCATTTTGGTTTTGGTGGGTTTTGGCTTGCTCCTTTATTGCAACCTGTTTTATCAGCAAGGTCTTTATGACCTGTATTTTGTGCTGACCTCCTATCTCATCCTGTGACTTAGAATGCCTTAACTGTCTGGGAATGCATCCCAGTAGGTTTCAGTCTTGTTTTACCCAACTCCTATTCAAGATGGAGTTGTTCTGGTTCACATGCCTCTGACAGTTTGTCAGTTGATTAATGGAATAGGAAAAAGGGAACAGCATAAGAGGGAAGAGGAATACCTGTGGGAGTTAATGTTTTATGTAGGGTGGTTGGGCAAGAGCCAGGGGTAAGCTGACATTTGAGCAGAAGAAAGGATATCTGGGGAATGAGTATTTCAGGTGGAGCCTTCCAAGAAAAAGGAATAAAAAGTGCAAAGAACCCTGAAACAGGAGCCTGTTGTGTTCAAAGAGTGGAAAGGAGCCAGGAGTCTGCAGCTGAGTGAACAAAGGGTAGAATAATAAGAAAGAGATAGTTGAGGGCCAGATCAGGGCTTTGTTGGTTATTTTAAGCTTTGGCTTTTGCTCTGAGTAAGATGAGAAGAAGCTGTGGAAGGTTAAAGTGGAGGAATGACGTGATCTAAGATCTGGGCTTCTAAAGGATTGCTTTGACTGCTGTCTTGAGAATAGAGCGTGGTGGGGGAAAGGGTAGGTGCAGGGAGACCAGTTAGGAGGCTGGTGCCACAATTCACACATGATGGTGGCTTAGATCAGGGTGGTAGTGACAGAGGCAGTGAGAAATGTTGTGATTGTGGATATGTTTTCAAGGTGAATTTGTTAGAATTACTGTTGCATTGGATGGGGAGTATACAGAAAGAAAAGAGTCACAGGTGAGCCCTAGATTTTTGGCTTGAGCAATTGGAAGTTAGGGAGATGTCATTAATTGCGATGGAAAAACGTATAGGTGAAGCAGGTACTTTTGTTTTCTTCAGGTTCAGTGAGTCCAGGAGTTCTGTTTTGGACAGGTGTAATCTGAGATGCCTGATAGATATCCAAGTGAGTGTTGAGACAGTAGTCAGGAGTTGAGTGGAGAAGTTGGGCTAAAGATACAGATTGTGAAATTGTTGGCATTAGATCGTGCTTAAAGCTGTTCTACTGAATGAGATCACCTAGAAAGTGAGAATAAATTAGGATTTTTCACCTTCTGCACTATTATTGTCAGCTAAGTCTTCATTGTGGAAGGCTGTCCTGTATGCTATAGGGTGTTAAGCAGCATTCCTGGCTTCTACCCTCTGCATAGCAATAGCACATCTATACCGCCACTTCTACCCTAGTTACAATAACCAACAATATCTCTAGATATTGCTTAATATCCTGGTGAATGAGGAAGAATCGCCCCCAGTTGAGAGCCACTTGAGTAGAGCAGTCTGGGACTGAACCCTGGGGCACACCAACATTTAGAAAAATGACGAACCAACAAAGGAGCCCAAGAAGGAGTAACTGAAGTGAGAGTTGAACAAAGAACGTGGCATCCCAGAAGCTAAGGGAAATGTTTCAAGGAGGAGGAGAGTGAAAACCTGTCAGTGTTGCATTTAAGCCAGGCAAGATGAGAAACGAAAATTGGCCTTTGGATCATGGAGGTCATTGATGACCTGGTCAGGAATTGCTGCAGTAGTCGTACAAAAGCCTCAGTGGAGTGGGTTCAAGAGGGAAAGGGAGGAGAGGAATTGTGAGTATAGAATAGCCCTTCCAAGGTGTATTGCTATAAGGGAAGCAGAGAAATCACATGGTAACCAGAGAGCAAGGGAGGAACAGAGAAAATATAATAATATATCTATGTGCAGTTGGGAATGACCTAGTAGATGCAGTTGAGAGCAATCACTAGAGGAAAGGAATTTGGGGAACTGAGAAGGTAGAGTGTTAGGATAATTGGATATTGTTTATTCATTTGTTTGTTTGTTTTTTTTTAGAGTCAGAGTTTCACTCTGTCACCCAGGCTGGAGTAAAATAGCACAGTCATGGCCTACTGCAGCCCGAACTCCTAGGCTCAATCGATCCTCCCATCTCAGCCTCCCAAGTGGCTGAGATTACAGGCGGGCATCACCATGCCTGGCTAATTTTTTTATTTTGTAGAGATAGGGTTTTGCTGTGTTGCCCAGGCTGATCTCGTACTCCTGGGCTGAAGAAATCCTCCTGTCTTGGCCTCCCAAAATGCTGGGATCATAGGCATGAGCTATTGTACCTGGCCCTGATACTGAAATCATTAAGAATTATGGTGAGAGTAGTGTGGGAGAGAGTGACAGTGGGCCAGGAGCTAAAATCAACTGCAGTGAGCATGGGTAGCAGGTGGTATCTGATTCCATGAGCTTCAGAGCTGAGTGATTCGGGTAGCAGAGGAGGAACAGTGGCCTAGAATGCCAGTGGGGAACAAGGACATCTGTATGTTTTCCTTGAGGCCCCACCCCAAAGGGCATGGTAGAGAAAACTCTGGGGTCACTGTCCTCACGGGAGATCCAGGATCCAACTTTAACCGTAAGGCAGGAAAGCGAAGGAATTATTCAGAGATGAGGTTGAGGATCCAGAAAATTGTGCTGATGCCGTGAGTTACCAGAAGCAAAGTAGCTCTGGGAAATCATCAGCGCTGAAAAGGTACTTACATCCTTGGGAGTAGATAAGATGTGCCTTGGGAGAAAGTGTACAGTGAGAGAAGATGGTCCAGGATCAAGGTTTGAGGAAATCTAGCATATAGGGGTCAGGTCAAGGAGAAGGGGAAGAAATGGACAGGAATGTGGGAGGAAAACTGGGAGAGGGTAGTATCATAGGATTCATGAGAAGAGACTGTTTAAAAAGGAAGGCAAGGTCACATATGTGGAATGCTGCTAAGAGATCAAGTAAGAGGGCCAGGCATGGTGGCTAACACCTGTAATCATGTGGAATGCTGCTAAGAGTCAAGTAAGAGGGCCAGGTGTGGTGGCTCACACCTGTAATCCCAGCACTTTGGGAGGCCGAGGCAGGTAGCACTTTGGGAGGCTTGAGGCCAGGAGTTCAAGATCAGCCTGGCCAACATGGTGAAACCCCGTCTCTACTAAAAAATACAAAAATTAGCCAGGTGTGGTGGTGCACACCTGTAGTCCCAGCTGCTGAGGAGGTTGAGGTGGGAGGATTGCCTGAGCCCAGGAGTTCGAGGCTGTAGTGAGCTATGATTGCACCACTGCACCCCAGCCTGACAGAGTGAGACCCTGTCTCAAAAAAAAAACAAACAAACAAACAAAAATTATCAGATGGTACATGCTCCTTAGAGCCCTCAATCTCTCGAACTAGAGCACGTTCCAGGATCACATGGCCTTCCTTGTAACACTGGCTGTCTTCGGTGGCAAACTCGTAGATCCATCCCAGTTTGCTGCTGCAGTTTTTCAGCTCACATGTTGGACCATGTGGTGGCCAGTGAGCATGACCCAATCTAGAGCTTCATTGTACTGCAGGTTCACTACCTTGTTAAAAAGAAATGCTCTGCCAGTGGCGCCTGTGAACCAAGTGGAGATGAATTCTGAGCGGTTGGTCAGGATTGTATCACAGTTTGCATAAGAAAATGGACAGGTACCACGAATATGATCAAGGAAAATTCTGCCCATTTTTATGGCTGAAGTTCTAAAAACCCTGTGCAGCAGTGAGATCTGTGGCTGCCAGTGGCTCCTTGCTCCTCAGCTGGGATTAATAAACAAGCTCCTTTTGGGGAGGGTGGGGGAAAAAAGAAAAAAATAAATAAACAAGCTCCTTTTGAGGAGTAATAATGAAAGTTAGAATAGCTTAGTATAGAAACTAACCCTGATATGTTCAATTTGCGAAGGTATTTTTATATTAAAATATTTATTTTTGTAATATTTTTGCACATACATGTAAGCGCATGTATAAAATTGCTATTCTGTGTGTGTGTGTGTATATGTGTGCGCATGCATGCTATTGCAGGTTAAGAAGTAATAGAAACAGGAAATAACCGCAATTATTAAGGTCAGTTTTGTTTGATGCTGTAGTATATATGGAGGCCACATTCCACTACAAGCAATGGCCGGGGTATGGTGTTAATTTTTATTATAGTAGAGTTAATTGCATAAAATATTGTCCTAAATAAATGGCCTATCAAGTTTGGAAATGTCTCTATGTAACAGAATCACAGTGAAATTTGGATTTTGTTATGCTGTTTTTTATAAATGTACATAATGTGATTTGGCATGCAAAAGTGGTCCAAATCTGTTTATCCAAAATTTTCAAATTTGGTGAGTTCACTTGGACACTGTTCTCATATATTTCAGTAGAACAGTCAGTGAGAAAAGCATAAACTTTTCAAACAAATGTCTCTTTTTCAACAGGAAGACCTCTGGAGATACATTGGAGCTGATGGAGGAGTCACTGGACATAAATCTGTTGAATAATGCCATTCGCCTAAAATTCCAAAATTGCAGTGTTTTACCTGGAGGGGTTTATGTCTCTGAGACTCAGAATCGTGTGATAATCTTGATGTTAACCAATCAAACAGTGCACAGGTTACTTTTACCACACCCCTCCCGGATGTATAGGAGTGTAAGTTGGCTAAGTGCAATATCTTTTATTTCCCAAATTACTCTGGGTGTCACAAATGTAGTGCTGGAGCGATGTCTTTTGGAATTGAAGGAAATTTGGATTCTCGTTATCCCTCACCAAGCATACTTTGATAGCTACCGCTTAAAATGATCAGGCATACATTTTAAGTTGAGAATTAGTTTTCATTAAGAAGAATAGCTTTCTTAAACTTGACAGTTTTTTACTTTAAAAACTTTTTTAGCAATAGAGAGGAACTGAGCAAAATTCTGGTTATTTTGATTTAATAGATTTTTCTTTTTAATTACTCAACAGGAGTTGGTAGTTGACAGTCAGATGCAGTCAATATTCACTGACATTGGAAAAGTTGATTTCACAGATCCTTGCAACTATCAGTTAATTCCAGCAGTACCTGGAATATCTCCTAATTCCACCGCCTCTACAGCCTGGCTCAGCAGTGATGGGGAGGCCCTGTTTGCCTTACCATGTGCTTCTGGGGGAATCTTTGTTCTTAAGCTACCTCCTTATGACATACCTGGTAAGAATGGGAACTGAGCATGGATTTAACTTTAAACAAGGAATGTTAACATTGAAACAGTTCAACCTCGTCATCCAATGCAGGGATTGCATCTCTACTGCCCCGGAACTGGTCATTCATTATTGCTTGCCTAATGAGTCCCTAATGCTTTACTTTTATACAGTGGATAAGGAACTATAAAGCATATTGGAGCACGGAAAAACAAATAGACAAGTATAAGACAGCCTATTCTAAATCTTGTAGTAGAGATGGGTTGCCTAATTGTCTGCCCTGAGATGGAGGCATTATAACATTATAATTAAATTAATTGAAACAAAGACATTAAATACCCTGCACCAAGTTGCCACTGTGTCTTGCCTGGATTATTGTATTAGCTTTCTATATATCTCCCCAGATCTGTCTTAACCCTCTTCAGACACTTCTCAGGTGGACTGATATATTTAAAACCCAAGGGCCAGGCGCTGTGGCTCACGTCTATAATCCCAGCACTGTGGGAGGCCAAGGCAGGTGGGTCACCTGAGGTTGGGAGTTGGAGATCAACCTGACCAACATGGAGAAACCCCGTCTCTACTAAAAATACAAAATTAGCTGGGCATGGTGGCCCATGCCTGTAATCCCAGCTACTCGGGAGGCTGAGGCAAGAGAATCGCTTGAACCCAAGAGGTGGAGGTTGCGATAAGCCAAGATCGTGCCATTGCACTCCAGCCTGGGCAACAAGAGCGAAACTCCATCTCAAAAAGAAAAACCCAAGTTGGGTCATGTCACTGCACTGTGTAAAGCCGTCCTTTATGTAGTGCAGTGACATGACACAACTTTTCTTTTATTCTTTTTTTTTTTTTGAGATGGGATTTCTCTCTGTCGCCCAGGCTGGAGTACAGTGGCATGATCTCAGCTCACTGCAATCTCCACCTCCTGGGTTCAAGCGATTCTCCTGCATCAGTCTCCTGAGCAGCTGGGATTACAGGCATTTGCCACCATACCCAGCTAATTTTTGTATTTTTAGTAGAGACAGGGTTTCACCATGTTAGCCAGGCTGGTCTCGAACTCCTGACCTTGTGATCTGCCCACCTCAGCCTCCCAAAGTGTTGGGATTACAGGCTTGAGCCACCGCACCTGGCCTTTCTTTCTTTCTTTTGAGACAGAGTCTCACTGTCACCCAGGCTGGAATGCAGTGGTGCCATCTTGGCTCACTGCAACCTCCGCCCCCCCCAGGTTCAAGTGATTCTCATGTCTCAGCCTCCCAAGTAGCTGGAATTACAGGTGTCCACCACCACACCTGGCTAATTTTTGAATTTTTAGTAGAGATGGGGTTTTGCCACATTGACTAGGCTGGTCTCGAACTCCTGACCTCAAGTGATCCGCCTGCCTCAGCTTCCCAAAGTGCTGGGATTACAGGTGTGAGCCACGGCACCTGGCCAACATGACCCAAGGTGGGATTCAAATATATCATGTTATGCTGAATAAACCCAGAGTCCTTACACTGGCCTAGAGTGACCCACTGCTGTCTCCAACTTCATCTGTTCACTCTTCCCCTCTTCACCAGCCACATGCCTTCTTGTAATTCCTTGAATATGCCAGGAACACCCCTACTTCAACAAGGCATTTGTTTGGTATTGTCAGCTACTAGCTTGGCTCATTCCCTCAGCTCCTTTAGGTCTTTACTCAATGTCACCTTGTTGAGGCCTTCCCTGACCATCCTTTTCAAAATTGCAGTGCCCCTGCCTGCCCTCCCTATATCCTGGCACTCTCTGTACTCCTTTTGTGTCTTATTTTTCTGACTTACTACCATTCTACTTAATTTAACTGTCTCTGCTTCTCCCCTTCCCCCAAAGGAATATAAGTTCCAGGAGGACAGGAGTTTTAAAATTTGTTTTGTTTACTGCTATGTCACTACCATCTAGAACTGTGCCTGGCACATGAAAGGTACCTAGTGATTGTTTTAGAAAGAATGAAGTGATTCTGCCGGGTGGCAATATGGGTTACTGTCTGTAAAAGGCAAAAATTTCCATGAGAAGTATAAAAATGCTATTTTTATGGATCTAATAATGATTCAAAATATTTTAGGTGTGATATATGCAGGAAAGTTACATCCTAAACCTTTGTTAGTACAGAAATACGGAAGTCTGTTGCCTATTATAAAGACCTTGTTCATGGTTACATCATTCTTGCCTTTGGGTTTCTCTAAGTGTGTTCAAGAGGTGCCTTGGATATCATTGCAGGTATGGTGTCAGTCGTGGAACTGAAACAGAGTTCAGTAATGCAACGATTGCTTACAGGCTGGATGCCAACAGCTATCAGGTGAGTGGTGTCTGGCAGGTAAATCAAAGGGCCCAAGAATTTAATCTTTTTGCACTGGTCGGCAGTTATTGTTTCCAGTCTTATTCCAAGGCAAACATTATACTGGAAAGGAGAACAGTCAGAATAACATTAAATTCCATCTGAGGAAAGCCACACTCCCGAGTCCCTTTCATCTGCAATTGGATGCCTTGTCAGCATAAATCGGCCTGTTTATATTCTCACAATATCCAGTTCAGTGCTCTGCCCCGACTTACCCAAATCCAGTTTCGTGTAAAATTATTAGAAATAGAAAGTTTTTGATGGTTACAGGAAAACAATATAAAAGGAAACAGTCTTCCATTGTTATGTAGAGCCTTTTAAATTTTATTATAGTAATTGGCGATAAACCAAATAGAAATGTAGTTGTCTTATACCAGCATATAAGCTCTTGGTCCTTCTGCTAAGAGTGTACATTTATAATTTTATTATATTTCTTGAATTGCAAATTCTAATGATCAGATTCTTTGCAGCAGTAAAACTCTAAAACTGGGTCTTATGTTTTAGGGGTGACCAGTCGCCTTCAGATCGTCCCCTCAGTCTTGCTGTTCATTGTGTGGAGCATGATGCCTTCATCTTTGCTTTGTGTCAGGATCATAAACTACGAATGTGGTCTTACAAGGTAAGTGCTACATTTATAGTTGCTGTAAGTTAAAACAGGATTGTGAATCATGAGAATTGAAGTAAATTTTGCTGTTTCTCTAAAGATTATTAGATCAATTGGTTTGGAACTTATTGGTCACTGCCAGATTCAGACAGTTTCATTTAGCTTTATTTTGCATATATTTTCCTCCTAACTTACTGTCTTTTTATTTGGAAAAATTATCAACCTAACAGGAACACTGAAAGAGTAGTACAAAGTACACCTTTCACTTTTTTTTAAATTTTTTAATTTTTTGAAACAGTCTCACTTTGTCACCCAGGCTGGAGTACAGTGGCATGAATATAGCTCACTGCAGCCTCTGCCTCCCGGGCTCAAGCAATTCCCCACCTCAGCTGCTCAAATAGCTGGGACTACAGGGGCACGCTACCATACCTGGCTAATTTTAGTATTTTTTGTAGACAGGGTTTTGCCATGTTACCCAGACTGGACCTTTCATTTAAGAGCAACAAATATGTTTTTAAAATGTAAGTTGGTAAAATGGTTTTCAAGATTCATCTAAAAAATACAGCTTATATTTTATATAAGTCTGATCTTATGTTTCAGACTGAAGAGATGTTTTTCATGTTAGCCCCTCCCTCCCTCTTTTTATTTTCCCCCGAAACAGAGTCTCGCTCTGTCACTCAGGCTGGAATGCAATGGCGCAGTCTCACCTCACTGCAACCTCCGCCTCCCAGGTTCAAGTGATTCTCCTGCCTCAGCTTCCCAAGTAGCTGGGATAACAGGCATGCACCACTGCACCTGGCTAATTTTTGTATTTTTTAGTAGAGATGGGGTTTCACTATGTTGGCCAGGCTGGTCTCGAACTCCTGACCTCAGGTTATCCACCCACCTCGGCCTCCCAGAGTGCTGGGATTACAGACGTGAGCCACTGCGCCCGGCCTGTGTTAGCCCTTTTGAAACAAAAACCTGTAAGGTCTTTTAGCAGATAAACTAGATAGAGCAGTAGATACAATGAAAGGTCCATCCTTTCAAAAGGTATGTTCTTCTAGCCTGAATATCCCTTGAATATCACCTATTAACTATTTTCTTGGACAGGAGCAAATGTGCCTAATGGTAGCTGACATGCTGGAGTATGTCCCTGTGAAGAAAGACCTTCGGCTTACTGCTGGAACTGGACACAAATTACGGCTTGCTTATTCCCCCACCATGGGACTCTACCTGGGGATATACATGCATGCACCAAAACGAGGACAGGTATGAAACAAATAAGACACATACCAAGTTATTCTGTGTGTACTGATGTGGAGAAATGGCTGTAGACTCAGTGAGTCTGTTCAAGCTCTTTTCACCGACCTAGATGTGTTTCTGAGGTGATGGTTGGGTTTCGTGCTACTATGTGAATTAGAAGATCTTGAAGGAGGGGTCAGTATGAAAGGAAGTAGAGAGTTTAAAGTAACATGAAAGGAAAAGTTAACAGAAACTAAACAAGAAGAGCAAATTAGGAGTTCTAGGTGAAAAAACAGAATTCCTGAAAGGGATGTAGGTGTTATGTGGTGTTAAGTTAATTTTTCTAAATAAATTTGCTTAGCATCCAGACAGTAGCTGCTGTCTGTAGATGAGATACGTAGGATGTGATGTAATAGTGTAATCATTTAATAAACAGCCATTTGTTGAGCATTGTGTGTTTGGTGCTGTGCCAGTCCCTTTATGCACATTAATAATAGCAGACACTGGGATTGTGCTTACTCTGGGCTCATATGCTATATGCGTTTTATCCATTTAATCCTAATAACAGCCCAGTGAGGTAGGGTCTGTCTCCCTTACTATGCAGGAGCTCTGATTCCCCCACTGAGTCCCCACGCTAGGCCACTGCCCTTCCTGGATGCCCTTCTCACTTCTGTTGGGATCTCATAGCCCACTCCACATTGCTCCTCCAATGTGGGTGCCCTCCTTACCCTGTTTGGGCCCTGAGACCACCAGACTGCCCCCATGCAATGGACCTCCTCCTCACCCAACCTGAGTTTCCATCCTGCACCAAGCTTTCTGTCCATGTGGAAGCCATCTCAAACTGTTCGTGCTCCTCCCCCCGAAGTCAGGCAGTCCCAAATGTGGACAGTCTTCTTATGTCCCTAGGCTCTTGCCTCATCACACCTGGCCATATCACCCCTGCATGCACGCCCTTCTCACTCACTAGTGTTCTCACTCCTGTGCTGGGACATGCCTGCACCGATGTTCTCTTCAACCTGTTCAGACTGACTCCTTATGCCGAACCCCAACCCCCCAGGTCCCCGACCCTTACCTTCTGGCCAGCAAGGATATCTACCTTGCTCTAGGTTTTTAGATTGGATTGCTCAGGAACAGAATGGAAGGGAAGAGGAAGAGCTCATTCTTGCAGTTTTTTCCTAATATGGCCCAAAAGTATCATGCTATCAAGACATTTATCTTGATTGCACATAATTGTTCTATTCTCTCTTCTGGAGGACAACCCTTGAACTATTTGAACATACCTATCCATCTCCTCTAAGTATACTCTTCTCTGCATGTAGGTTGTGGGTGGTAGGAGAATTGACCCTGCTCTAACTTCCTTAGTTCCTTCCATTGTTATTCATGTAACATCCTGTTGATCAGTCTCCTCGACATGTTACAATTAGTTTGTCACACTAAAATAGTGGTTCTCAAACTTTTGGTCTCGGGACCCTATTATACTCTTACCGAGAACTGCAAAGAGCTTTTGTTTATATGGGTTATACCTATAATTTATTAGAAATTAAAACTGGCTGGATGTGGATTGACACATTTTATATTATGCAGTATCTAAATTACTGTTTTGGGGGGTAATCCCCAAGACCACCTCACCTCCATGTCCAGTAATACTCTGAAAGGACTCATAGGGCTCAGTATGTAGTTGTGCTGACAGCTAAAATGTATTACAGTGAAAAGATACAAAGCAAAGTGAAAAAAGGGAAAAGGCACATGGAGTGAAGTCTGAAGCCAGACACAATCGTCTAAGAGTCCCCTCCCAGTAGAGTCTCACAGGACATGCTTAATTCTTCCAGCACTGAATTGTGATGATGTGTGTAAAATGTTGTTTCCCAGGAAAGCTTGCTAGAGGCACAGTGCCCACCATATTGGCCAGGCTGGTCTCGAACTCCTGACCTTGTGATCTGCCCACTTCGGCCTCCCAGAGTACAAGCAAGACTTTCTAAGGAGAGCAGCCTCAGGCCTGCTATGTTAACCCTTTCTGCACAACTATTATCATTGATGATATTATCATTGGTGATCACTCAGAAGAGCCTTGAGAAGCTCTGGAGTTCATGTTAGTGGATACGAAGTTTTCTGAAATCATAGTTTTCACTTTAAAACTTGAAATGTATCATTGGCAACAAATACTGTCATTTGTTTTCCCTGAAATGACAGGTTCACTTTATTCTTTTTTTTTTTTCTTTTGTGATGGAGTTTGGCACTCTTGTCACCCAGGCTGGAGTGCAGTAGCGTGACCTCAACTGACTGCAACCTCTGCCTCCTGGGTTCAAGCAATTCTCCTTCATCAGCCTCCACAGTGGCTGGGATTACAGGTACCTGCCACCATACCCGGCTAATTTTTTGTATTTTTAATAGAGATGGGGTTTCACCATGTGGGCCAGTCTGGTCTCGAACTCCTGACCTCAGGTGATCCACCCGCCTCAGCCTCCCAAAGTGCTGGGATTACAGGTGTGAGCCACCACGCCCAGCCTATTCATTTATTTAAACAGCTTTCTTGAGATGTAATTCACTCACCCATTTAAAGTATACCATTCAATGAGTTTTAGTATATCCACAGATACGAGCAACCATTACCATAGTCAACTTTAGAACATTTCCATCACCTCAAAAAGAAACCCCATACCTTTTAGCTATCATTCTTCCCTTCCCCCATTTCTTCCCAGCTCTACACAACTGCTAATCTATTTTCTGTCTCTATAAAGTTACTTATTCTGGTCATATTATGTCAGTGGAATCATATAAGTGGTTTTCTGTGACTGGCTTCTTTCACTTAGCTTAATATTTTCAAGGTTCATCCATGTAGCATGTGTTGTCAGCACTTCATTCTGTAAGTGCCCAATACATACAGCTGATTTATCAAGACAGGAATTGGAATAGAGAGAGTTTAATACACATAGAGCCAGCTAAACAGGAGACCGGAGTTTTACTGTTAACTCAAATCAGATCAGCCCCCCTGAAAATTTAGAGGCTAGGGTTTTTCAAAGATAGTTTGCCAGGCAGGGCGAGGCTATGAGTGCTGCTGACTGGTTGGAGATGCAATTGTAGGAGTGTGGAAAACCATCCTATGCGCTGAGTCTGCTTCTGGGTCGGGGCCACAGAAGAGTTGCTCATCTGGCTGGGGCCAGAAATGTAAAAAACTGAAAACACATTTTAAAAGGCCAGTGTAAGGTGCTACAATGGTGATGTTATTTACAGAAGTAATTGGGGAAGTTGCAAATCTTATGACCTCCGGAATAATGACTGGTAATCATTTAACTATGAATTCGGGCCCCTCTCATCTTCCTAACCTGGTGGCCTTTCATTAGTTTTACCAAGGTGGTTTGGTTTTGGGGAAGGGCTATTATTATTTAAACTATAAATTAAATTTCTCCCAAGGTGAGCCTTGCCCATGCTCAGGAATGACCAGAGGCAGTTTGGAGATTAAAGACAAGATGGAATTTGTGGGCCAGCACAGTGGCTCACGCCTGTAATCCCAACACTTTGGGAGGCTGAGGCAGGCGGATCATGAGGTCAGGAGATCGAGACCCTCCTGGCCAATATGGTGAAACTCCTTCTCTACTAAAAATACAAAAATTAGCTGGGCGTAGTGGTGCATGCCTGTAGTCCCAGCTGCTCAGGAGGCTGAGGCAGGAGAATGGTTTGAACCTGGGAGGCGGAGGTTGCAGTGAGCAGAGATTGCACCACTGCACTCCAGCCTGGTGACAGACCGAGATTCTGTCTCAAAAAAAAAAAAAAAAAAAAAAAAAAGGAATTTATTAGATCAGATCTGTCTCTTTTTTTTTTTTTTTTTTTTTTTTTTGAGAGAGAGTCTCGCTTTGTCACTAAGGCTGGAATACAGTGGCGCGATCTCAGCTCACTGCAACCTCTGCCTCCCAGGTTCAAGCAGTTCCCCTGCCTCAGCTTCCCAAGTTGCTGGGATTACAGGCGCATGCCACCATGCCTGGCTAAGTTTTTGTATTTTTTTAGTAGAGGTGGGGTTTTGCCATATTGGCCAGGCTGGTCTCTCCTGATCTCAGGTAATCCGCCTGCCTCGGCCTCCCAAAGTGCTGGGATTACAGGCGTGAGCCACTGCACCTGGCCCAGACCTCTTTCATTGTCATAATTTTCTCACTGTTATGATTTTTGCGAAGGTGGTTTCAATTCCTTTTATAGCTGAATAATTTTCAGTTGTATACCACCATTTATTTATTCATTTGTGTTGGAATTTTTTCATTTGTGTTGGACATTGTTGTTTCTACCCTTTATCTATTATGAATACTGCTGCTATATACTTGTCAACACTTGTTGTTATCTGACTTTTTAATTCTAGATATCCTAGTGGGTATGAAGTATTATCTCATTATGGTTTTTGTTTTAATTTCCTGATAACTAATGATGCCAAGCATCTTTTTAGTGCTTATTGGTTATTTGTGTCTCTTCCTTGGAGAAATGTTTATTCACATCATTTGCTTTTTTGTTGTTGTTGTTGTTGTTGTTGTTGAGATGGAATCTTGCTCTGTTGCCCAGGCTGGAGTGCAGTGGCGTGATCTCGGCTCACTGCAACCTCCGCCTCCCAGGTTCAAGCGATTCTCCCGCCTCAGTCCCCCAAGTAGCTGGGATTACAGGCTCACGCCATCATGCCTGGCTAATTTTTGTGTTTTTGTAGAGACGGGGTTTCACCATGTTGGCCAGGCTGGTCTCGAACTCCTGACCTCAGGTGATCCACCAGCCTCAGCTTCCCAAAGTGCTGGGATTACAGGCATGAGCCACCACGCTCGGCTGCTCTTTTTTTTTTTAACTTTTGTTTTAGGTTTGAGGGTACATGTGAAGCTTTATTACATAGGTGAACTCATGTCATGGGGCTTTGTTGTACAGATTTTCTCATCACCCAGGAATTAAGCCCAGCACCTAATAGCTATCTTTTCTGCTCCACTCCCTCCTCCCAACCTCCACCCTCAAGTAGACCCTAATGTTTGTTGTTTCCTTCTTCGTGTTCATAAGTTCCCATCATTTAGCTCCCATTTATAAGTGAGAACATGTGGTATTTGGTTTTCTGTTCCTGCATTATTTTGCTGAGGATAATGACCTCCACTTCCATCCATGTTTCCACAAAAGACATGATCTCGTTCTTTTTTGTGGCTGCATATATTCCATGATATATATGTACCATGTTTTATTCAGTCTGTCATTGAGGGGCATTTAGGTTGATTCTATGTCTTTGCTATTGTGAACAGTGCTGTAATGAACATTCATGTGCATTTGTCTTTATGGTAGAATGATTTGTATTCCTTTGGGTTATATACCCAGTAATGGGATTGCTGAGTGGAATGGTAGTTCTGTTTTTAGTTCTTAGAGGAATCACCACACTGCTTTCCACAATGGTTGAAGTAATTTACAGTCCCACCAACATTGTATAAATGTTCCCTTTTCTCTGCAACCTCACCAGCATCTGTTATTTTTTGACTTTTTAATAGCCATTCTGACTGCTGTGCGATGGTATCTCATTGTGGTTTTGATTTGCATTTCTCTAATGATCAGTGATAGTGAACTTTTATTCATATGCTTGTTAGCTGCATACTTCTTTTTTGAAAAGTGTCTGTTCATGTCCTTTGCCCACTTTTTAATGAGGTTGTTTGCCTTTCATTTGTAAATTTAAGTTCCTTATAGAGGTTGGAAATCAGACCCTCGTCAGATGCATAGTTTGCAAATATTTTCTCCCATTCTGTAAGTTGTCTGTTTACTCTGCTGAAAGTTTCTTTTACTGTGCAGAAGCTTTTAAGTTTAATTAGATCCCACTTGTCAATTTTTGCTTTTGTTGAGATTGCTTTTAGTGTCTTCGTCTTGAAATCTTTGCCCGTTCGTATGTTCAGGATGGTATTGCCTATGGTTGTCTTCCAGGGTTTTTATAGTTTTGCGTGTTATGTTTAAGTCTTTAATCCATCTTGAGTTGATTTTTGTATATCGTGTAAGGAAGGGATCCAGCTTCAGTCTTCTCATGTGCCCATTTTTTAATTAGTTTGTCTTTTTTGTTATTGAATTGTAAGAATTCTGTAAACAGGCCAGTGCGGTGGCTCATGCCTGTAATCCTAGCACTTTGGGAGGCCAAGGTGGGTAGATCACTTGAGGCCAGGTATTTGAGACCAGCCTGGCCAATATGGTGAAACCCCATCTCTAATAAAAATACAAAAAATTAGCCGGGCATGGTGGCACGTGCCTGTAATCCCAGTTACTTGTGAGGCTGAGGCACGAGAATTGCTTGAAACCTGGTGGTGGAGGTTGCAGTGAGCCGGGATCGCACCATCCAGCCTGGGCAACAGAGCAAGATTCTGTCTCAAAAACAAAGAAACAAACAAAATGGTATTATAAACTTAATCTTATGGAGTCACCATTGTATATGTGGTCCATATACCAAAGCATCATTATATAGTATGTAACTGTATTATTCTGGATCTAAATCTCTAATCAGATTTATGACTTGCAAGTAGTATTTTCTACCACGTGAGCTGTCTTTTCACTTTCTTGATGGTGTCCCATGAAGCACATGTTTTTAATTTTGATAAAGTCCAGATTATCTATTTTTTCTTTTGTTGCTTTTGTTCATAGTGTCATACCTTAAGAATCCTTTGCCAAACCTAAGGTCATAACGATTTACTCTTATGTTTTCTTCTCAGAGTTTTATACTTTTAGCTTTTATATTTAGGACTTTGATTCATTTTTTTAGTTTTGTGGGGTTTTTTTTTAATAGTGTGAGGTAAGCATTCAACTTCATTCTTTTGCTTGTAGATATTCAGTTTTCTCAGCACCATTTGTTGAAAAGATAGTTCTTAACACATTGAATGGTCTTGGCACCCTTCTCAAAATCATTTGACCTCAGACACATGGTTTTATTTCTAGGCTCTCAATTCTGTTCCATTGATCTATATATCTGACCTTGTGCTGGTACCACACTGTCTTGATTACTCTTGCTTTGTAGGAAATTTTGACACCAGGAAGTGTGAGCCCTCTTACTTTGTTCTTCTTTTTCAAGATTGTTTTGGCTATTCTGGGTCCCATTCAATTCCATATGAGTTTTAGAATCAGCTTGTCAGTTTCTACAAAGAAGTTAGCTGAGATTCTGATAAAAATTGTGTTGCCTCTATAGATGATATTATAAAATATTGCCATCTTAGCAATATTAAGTCTTCTGATCCATGAACATGGGATGCTTTAGTTTTCAGAGTGTAAGTTTTATACTTTTGTTCAATTTCTTCTTAAATATTTGATTCTTTTTGATGCTATTGTAAATGAAATTTTCTTGATGCTATTATAAACGAAATTATTTTCTTAATTTCATTTTCAGAGTGCTCATTGGAAGTTGATAGAAATACAGTTGATTTTTGTATATTCATAATTGTATCTTGCAACTTTGCTGAACTCATTTATTAGTTCTGATAGATTTTGTAATGGATTCATTAGGATTTTCTTTATACAAGATAATGTCACTTGCAAATAAACTTTTGATTACAATGGCTCACACCTGTAATCCCAGCACTTTGGGAGGCCAAGGTGGGCAGATTGCTTGAGCTCAGGAGTTCCAGACCAGCCTGGGCAACATGGCGAAACCCTGTCTCTACAAAATAGCAAAAATTAGCTGAGCATGGTGGCTCATTCCTATAGTACCAGCTATTTGAGGGGCTGAGATGGCAGGATCACTTGAGCCTGGATGGTTGAGGCTGCAGTATTCCTGATTGCCTCACTGTACTTCAACCTGAGCAACAGAGCGGAACCCTGTCTCATAAAAAAGTTAGTTTTATTACTTCCTTTCTAAACTAGATGCATTTTCTTTTTTTCTTTTCCTTCTTTCTTGTAGGGTTTTTAAAAATTTTTTTGGAGGGAGGTGGGTACTAATTGTCCTGGCTAGATCCTCTAGTACAATGTTGAATAGAAGTGGCAAGAACCTGCATCTTTTTTGTCGTCTTTTTTTTTTTCACTCTGTCACTCAGGCTGGAGCGCAGTGAATGCACTCTCAGCTCATTGCAACCTCCTGGTTCAAGCGATTCTCCCACCTCAGCCTTCTGAGTAGAGTTGCCGGGACCACGGGCATGTGCCACCATGCCCAGCTAATTTTTATATTGTTGTTTTTTGGTAGAGAAGAGGTTTCACCATGTTGGCCATGCTATGCATCTTTGCCTCATTCCTAATTTGTATTGCTAAGGGAGAAGTTACCAGTGTTTCACCATTAAGTATAATGCTAGCTGTGAATTTGTCTTTTTTTTTCATTGTGATGCAACAGTAAGCTGTGAATTTTTTTTTTTTTTTTGAGACAGTGTCTCACTCCGTCACCCAAGTTGGAGTGCAGTGGCGCAATCTCAGCTCACTGCAACCTCCACCTCTCAGGTTCAAGCGATCCTCCCACCTCAGCCTCCCAGGTAGCTGGGACCACAGGTGTGTGCGACCACACATGGCTAATTTTTTTGTATTTTTGGTAGAGACGGGGTTTCGCCATGTTGCCTGGTCTCAAACTCCTGAGTTCAAGCAGTCCACCCACCTCGGCTTCCCAATGTGCTGGGATTACAAGTGTGAACCACAGCACCCAGCCTGAATTTTTCGTAAGTGCCCTTTATATTGTGTTGAGGAGGTTCCCCTTTATTCCTAGTTTCTTGAGTGGTTTTCTCTTGAAAGGGTGTTCAGTTTGGTCCCACTGCCTTGATTTATGTTAAGACACCAGTAATTTTACCCACCACTGATTTTGCATCATTGATGCAAATATCAACAAAGTGAAAAAGGCAAATAATGCAGTGTTATTATGCAAAGGGTTTGGGGCTGGGTGCAGTGGCTCACACCTGTAATCCCAACACTTTGGGAGGCCAAGGCGGGCAGATCACCTGAGGTCAGGAGTTCGAGACCAGCCTGGCCAACATGGTGAAACCCCGACTGTACTAAAAATACAAAAATTAGCCAAGCGTGGTGGCGGGCATCTTTAATCCCAGCTACTCGGGAGACTGAGGCAGGAGAATTGCTTGAACCCAGGAGGCAGATGTTGCAGTGAGCGGAGATTGTGCCATAGCACTCCAGCCTAAGTGACAGAGAGAGACTCTGTCTCAAAAAAAAAAGGGGGGGGGGATTTTTACCTCACTGACCCCCTGAAATGGTCTCAGGGACCTCTAGGAATCTGTGGACCACATTTTGAGAACCACTGCTCTAAAGGTCAGATCGGGAATGAATGTAGTAGTTCAGGAGTGTGTCAAATTGAGCAGAGCTATTACTTCCTTTGTTTTGAGCATTATGATTCTTCATTGAAGCCTAAAATCAGAATAACTTTTTTGACAGCTATGTAACACTGTTAGCCTATCCAGATTATAGTGAACTTATAGTATTTTATTTCTTTTTTCTTCACAAAAACTGATCTTCGGCTGGGCCTGATGGTGCATATGTATAGTTCCGGCTACTCGGGGCTGATGCAGGAGGATCATTTGAGTTCAGGAATTTAAGACCAGCTTGGACTGTTGGGTTTTTGTTTGTTTGTTTGTTTGTTTGTTTGTTTAATGCTGTTTGAGACCTGCTAAATTGATTTTATGTCCCACTAATGGATTGAGATTTGTAGGTTTTAAAACACAGGTTCAGGCTACAATGGATATAAGCACTACATATTTTTTTTCATATTTCATACACTATGTTTCTCAAAAAGGAATTTTGCTGCTTTTTTTTCTTTAATACTTTTTTGTGAACAGCTGCATATAAGGGTCATCATCACTCTTATCAATTTACAGTAAATTTTCTTTATAAAAACAGTTAATTTAGGCTGGACTTGGTGGCTCACGCCTGTAATCCCAGCACTTTAGAAGGCCGAGGTGGGCAGATCACCTGAGGTCAGGAGTTCGAGACCAGCCTGGCCAACATGGTAAAACGCTGTCTCTACTAAAAATACAAAAATTAGGCTGTATGGCTCATGCCTGTAATCCCAACATTTTGGGAGGCCGAGGTGGGTGGATCACTTGAGGTCAGGAGTTTGAGACCACCCTGACCAACATGGTGAAACCCTGTCTCTACTAAAATACGAAAACTAGCTGGGCATGGTAGTGCGTGCCTGTAAATCCCAACTACTCGCGAGGCTGAGGCAGGAGAATTGCTTGAACCCAGGAGGCAGAGGTTGCAGTGAGCCGAGATCGTACCACTGCACTCCAGCCTGGGTGACAGAGCGATACTCCGTCTCAAAAAAAAAAAAAAAAGGCAAAAATTAGCTGGGCATGGTGGTGGGGACCTATAATCCCAGCTACTTGGGAGGCTGAGGCAAAATTGCTTGAACCTGGGAGGCAGAGGTTGCAGTGAGCCGAGATCACACCACTGCACTTCAACCTAGGCAATAGAGCGAGACTCGTCTCCAAAAAAAAAAAGTTATTTAAAAAGTTCATCAAGCCAGGCACTGTAACTCACTCCTGCAGTCCCAGCAATTTGGGAGGCCAAGGCAGAAGGATCACTTGATACCAGGAGTTTGTGACTAGCTCGGGCAACATGGTGAGACTCCGTCCCTACAAAAAATAAAAGTCCGGCTGGGCGCGGTTGGCTCATGCCTGTAATCCCAGCACTTTGGGAGGCCGAGGCGGGCAGATCACGAGGTCAGAAGATCGAGACTATCCTGTCTAACACAGGGAAACCCTGTCTCTACTAAAAATACAAAAACTTAGCTGGGCGTGGTGGCAGGCGCCTGTAGTCCCAGCTACTCAGGAGGCTGAGGCAGGAGAATGGCGTGAACCCAGGAGGTGGAGCTCGCAGTGAGCCGAGATCACACCACTGCACTCCAGCCTGGGCGACAGTGCGAGACTCCATCTCAAAAAATAAATTAAATTAAATTAACGTGAAAAAAAAAAACAAAAGAAAAAGCTGGGTCGGGTAGAACATGCCTGCATTACTAGCTATTAGGGAGGCTGAGGTAGGAAGATAGCTTGAGCCCAAGAGTTGGAGGTTAACGTTGAGCTACGATCATGTCACTGCACTGCAGCTTGGGTAACAGAGCAAGACCTGTCTCTAAAAATAAAAATAAATAAGTTTGTTTTTTATTTTATTTTATTTTTTTTTGAGATAGAGTCGCTCTGTTGCCCAGGCTGGAGTATAGTGGGGCGATCTTGACTCACTGCAAGCTCCGCCTCCCGGGTTCACACCATTCTCCTACCTCAGCCTCTCGAATAGCTGGGACTACAGGTACGTGCCACTGCGCCCGGCTAAATTTTTTTGTATTTTTTTTAGTAGAGATGGCGTTTCACCGTGTTAGTCAGGATGGTCTCGATCTCCTGACCTCATGATCCACCTGTCTCGGCCTCCCAAAGTGCTGAGATTACAGGTGTGAGCCACCGCACCCAGCCAACAAATAATTTTTTTTACCACAGTGAGATAATCACCTCACATCTATTAGGATATCTACAATTGAATGAATGAATAAATAAATAAATGTCTTGGCAAGGATATGGAGAAATTAGAACTCTTTTGTTGTTGTTGAGAAATCAGAACTCTTGTACATTGCTAGTGGGAATGTAAAATGCTGCAGCCATTATGAAAAACAATATAGTGGTTCCTCAAAAAATTAAACATAGAATTACCATATATTCCAGAAATTCCACTTCTATGTGTGTGTGTATATATATATATATATATATATATATATATATATATATATATATGCAAAAGAATTGAAAGCAGGGTCTCAAAGGTATATTTGTACAACCATATACATAGTAGCATTACTCACAATAGGCAATAAGATAAAGCAGCCCAAGTGTCCATCCACAACAAATAGGTAAACAACCTGTTGCATGTACGTACAGTTTAATATTTCAGTTTTTAAAAGGAAGGAAGGCCAGGAGCAGTGGCTCACACCTGTAATCCCAGCACTTTAGGAGGCTGAGGCGGATGGATCACAAGGTCAGGAGATCAAGACCATCCTGGATAACACGGTGAAACCCCGACTCTACTAAAAATACAAAAAAATTAGCCAGGCGTGGTGACAGGCGCCTGTAGTCCCAGCTACTCAGTAGGCTGAGGCAGGAGAATGGCAGGAACCTGGGAGGCAGAGCTTGCAGTGAGCCGAGATCGCACCATTGCACTCCAGCCTGGGCGATAGAGCGAGGCTCCTTATCAAAAAAAAAGAAAAAAGGAAGGAAATGCTGACACATGCTACTACATGGGCGAGCCTTGAAGACATTATGCTAAACGACATAAACCAGTCACAAAAACACAAATAATATATGACCCTTCCACTTACATGGAGTACCTAGAGTAGTCAAATTTATAGAGACAAAGTAAAGTGGTGTTACAAGGGGCTAGGAATTGAAGGGAAATGGGAAATTGTTTATTGAGTATAGAGTTTTAGTTATGCAAGGTGAAGATGAAAGGAGTTCTATAGATTGGTTGTACAACAGTGTGAATATACTTAACACTGCTAAAAATAGTTAAAATGGTAAATTTGACGTTATGTGTATTTTACTACATTAAAATAAAGTGGTTCTACCTGGCCTGTGTGGGTGAAAAAGAAAAAATTTTTGAAGACTATACTTTCAGGGATCATTTCTGCAGTAAATACCATTTGACCCAGCCATCCCATTGCTGGGTATATACCCAAAGGATTATAAATCATGCTGCTATAAAGACACATGCACACATATATTTATTGTGGCACTATTCACAATCGCAAAGACTTGGAACCAACCCAAGTGTCCATCAATGATAGACTGGATTAAGAAAATGTGGCACATATACACCATGGAATACTATGCAGCCATAAAAAAGGATGAGTTCATGTCCTTTGTAGGGACACGGATGAAGCTGGAAACCATCATTCTGAGAAAACTATCACAAGGACAGAAAACCAAACACCACGTGTTCTCACTCATAGGTGGGAATTGAACAATGAGAACACTTGGCCACAGGGTGGGGAACGTCACACACTGGCACCTGTCGTGGGGTAGGGGGAGTGGGGAGGGATAACATTAGGAGATATACGTAATGTAAATGAATTAATGGGTGCAGCACACCAACATGGCACATGTATACATATGTAACAAACCTGCACGTTGTGCACATGTAACCTAGAATTTAAAGTATTAAAAAAAAAAAAAGAAAAGAAAAAAAATTTTTGGCCGGGTGCAGTGGCTCACGCCTGTAATCCCAGTTCTTTGGGAGGCCGAGGCAGGCGCATCATGAAGTCAGGAGTTTGAGACTAGCCTGGCCAACACGGTGAAACCCCATCTCTACTAAAAATACAAAAATTAGCCGGGCATGGTGGCGGGCACCTGTAATCCCAGCTACTCGGGAGGCTGAGGCAGGAGAATAGCTTGAACTTAGGAGGTGGAGGTTGCAGTGAGCTGAGATCGTGCCATTGCACTCCAGCCTGGGCAACAGAGCAAGACTCTTCTTTCAAAAAAAAAAAAATTTTTTTTTAAAGGTTTCTGAATGGTAATAGCCCTTGCTTCGAAAAGTAACATGTTGATTATTTCAGGTAATAAATGATCATCTTGTGTTTTAACAGTTCTGCATTTTCCAGTTGGTGAGCACTGAGAGTAATCGCTATAGTCTCGATCATATTTCTTCACTGTTCACTTCTCAGGTAGGTTGATTCATCCTTTGCATATCACATAAGTACAAGAAAAAGAAGTATTGACTAACTCTGTTATGGTATAATGGGATTGTAGTCTTAAAATGGAATTATTTCATGATATATGGAACAAAATTTCATTTAGACTTTACCAAATTCATGTGGTACCATGTTTTGTTTTCATACATTTACCTCTCCTACTGATGAAAAAGTAAGTCACCGTGAACTACTACTTTCTTTCTTATTTTATCCCTTTTTTTCCCACATTTCCTCCTAGGAGACACTGATTGACTTTGCCTTAACTTCCACGGATATCTGGGCCCTGTGGCATGATGCTGAGAACCAAACAGTAGTGAAATACATCAACTTTGAACAGTATGGGTCACTTAATTCTGTCATCCTACCTCACCCCAAGCAATTTCATGCTAAGAAGACGAGAGGCCGGGCGCCGTGTCTCATGCCTGTAATCCTAACACTTTGAGAGGCCGAGGCAGGCAAATCACTTAAGCTCAGGAGTTCGAGACCAGGCTGGGCAACAGAAACCCCGTCTCTACTAAAAACACAAAAAATTAGCTGGGCCTGGTGGCAGGTGCCTATAATCCCAGCTCCTCGGGAGGCAAGGCTGTAGCATGAGAATCGCTTGAACCCAGGAGGCGGAGATTGCAGTGAGCCAACATTGCTCCACTGCACTCCAGCCTGGGCAACAGAGTAAGACTCTATCTCAAAAAAAAAAAAAAAAAAAAAAAGACAAGGGAGCTTTTTATGTAGAACCAAGTCAAGGGTTTTCATTCGAATAATTCAGCCCTGGGTTTTCGTCTTGTTACTGTCTTCCTGAAATACCTCTTGTGCATTTTGTGTTATTTTTTACATTTTTGTTTTAGGACAAAATGAGAATTTTGGGGGTTGGACTAAGATAAAATGTCATATTTCTTGGGAGAGATAGCACATATCCAAAATACCTCTAATCTGGGAGTTTTCTTTGTTTCTAAGCTAAGACTATTCCTGATTCCTGCAACTTCCTTAGGATACTATAGCCTTTGTGTTTTCAATTTTCTCATCATGAGATGAGAAATAGATTGGACAAGTGCAGTGCTTCTCAAATTTATTTTAAAACAGGGCTGGGCACAGTGGCTCATACCTGTAATCCAAGCACTTTGTGAGGCTAAGGTGGGAGGATTGCCTGAGGCCATGGTTCAAGACCTGTCCAGGCAACATAGCAAGACCTTGTCTCTATAAAAAATAAACTAGTGGCCAGGTGCGGTGGCTCATGCCTGTAATCCCAGTACTTTGGGAGGCTGAAGTGGGCAGATCACAAGGTTGGAAGTTTGAGACCAGCCTGGCCAACATGGTGAAACCCCATCTCTACTAAAAATACAAAAATTAGCCGGGCGTGGTGGTATGTGCCTGTAATCCCAGCTACTCAGGAGGCTGAGGCAGGAGAATCTCTTGAACCCAGGAGACGGAGGTTGCAGTGAGCCAAGATCATGCCATTCACTCCAGCCTAGGCGACAAAGTGAGACTCCATCTCAAAAATAAATAAATAAATATAAATAAATAAAATAAACTAGCCAGGTGTGGTGGCACGATGCACCCTATTAGACTGAGGCAGGAGGATTGCTTGAGCCTCAGAGTTCAGGCTTCAGTGAGCTATGAATGTGTAGTATTTTATGAGTATAAAATTATAACACAATTTAATGTTGATTGTACCTAATGTTAGATATATTTGGTATCTAATATTTTTTAATGTAGATGATATTAGTTTGCAAGCCTTAGGTAGTTAAAAATACATTTTACAAAACAATTTTTGGCTGGTCCCATGATAATGGATTGTCAGAACTTAACATTAGTGTCACTAAAGTTGGCATACAGCCCTCCACTGCTAAATTTGGCCAAAAATAAAAAACAAACCATTTTGAAGCAAAGACTTGTCTAACCCCTGAAACATCTGTAGAGGCTCCCTTGGGACAGAGCTTGAAGACCACTGAACTAATTGAACCCTCTGGGTCCCTGATAACCCTAGAGCCTAAGGTAGAATTCTGGGAATGATTGCCCTCCAGATTGACCTCAGGCCATACCTGGGAAGATAAAAAAAGCACTCCTTGTAGATGGCATTTGAGCAAAGTAGTCAGAAAGCACAGGCTGCAGAGTTGGAGCAGGGTTGGAATCCTAGTTGTGCAACTTACTAGCTGTGATATACCCTCAGCCTCACTGTGTACATCTGTGAAATGGGAGTACTATATCCTTCAAAGAATTATAAGGCATACATGAATAATGTCTAAAACTGCATCTAGCATAATATCTAGCAAATAATAAATGCAGAATAAAAGTTAGTTATTCTTTGTATTTGATGCCTTAGTGTTAAAATGACATTAAAGATTATGGGCTTGAGATCTGAAACAATGAGTTTCAATTTTAGGAAGATAATTATTAAAACATGGTAAGCAAACTTGTATAAAAACTAGGCTCTGCTAAAAATGTTTCTTTCTTTCTTATTTAAAAAAAAATGTTTTTAATAGAATTGATGAAGCAGTCATTGCCGGGTTCCGTGATGGGGTCCTCCCTGCCCAGATACTGCCAACAGCATACATTTCATTTTTAGTGATCATTTCTGTATAAACTGGTGGACTTTTTTGTCTCTAGTAATGTTGCAGGTCAGTGGAATCCAGTTTTTATGCAGCCTCTGCCAGAGGAAGAGATTGTCATCAGAGATGATCAAGACCCCAGAGTAAGTAGATGCTCAAATGTTATATAAGGGAATGATTTACTTTGATCTTTTTTTTTTTTTTGAGACAGAGTCTCGCTCTGTGGCCCAGGCTGGGGTACAGTGGCATGATCTTGGCTCACTGCAACCTCTGCCTCCCAGGTTCAAGCAATTCTCTTGCCTCAGCCTCCCGAGTAGCTGGGACTACAGTCACGTACCACCACACCCAGCTAATTTTTGTACTTTTGTAGAGACGGGGTTTCACCATGTTGTTCAGGCTGGTCTCCAACTCCTGACCTCAGGTGATCCACCCACCTCGGCCTCCCAAAGTGCTGGGATTACAGTCGTGAGCCACCGTGCCCGGCC
Source organism: Homo sapiens (assembly GCF_000001405.40). NCBI lineage: Eukaryota > Metazoa > Chordata > Mammalia > Primates > Hominidae > Homo > Homo sapiens. The sequence goes on along the minus strand of NW_019805496.1, from coordinate 251,398 downwards.
AAATCTCCACATTTTTAAGGGACACCCTCAGGATAAATAAAAAAGCTTTCAGTTGATGCCTTAGTATTACAATGACATTAAAGATTATGGGCTTGGGATCTGAAACAATGACTATTTGCAGGAGTAGAAAACATACTTCAAAAATCTTAAATTGAATATTACTGCACTCTTAATCCCAAGAGTTTATTGGTGGTAGTTATTTATTGTTCCAGTTAACTACTGGCACTTGGCTTTTGTCTAAAAGCCAAAATCATATGCTGATTACTAAAACTGTTGTTTTTCTCCTTCATTTTGGTCATTTTATCATCTCAGTAGAAGGAAGGAAACTTGAATGACTGTTAGTCAGATTTACTACTTGGGGGCAAATCTGGTTTAGGAGAGTTGGTCAAAATCATTAGGCAATATGAGATTTTTCCATGTTGTTCTCTCTACTTCATTTCCCTACTTGTGAGAGTTTATTGCTGTTTGTTTTGTTTTGTTTTGTTTTGTTTGCATATAATACCTATTATTACTGGTTCCATTTCTTTTACATGTGAGTCATAAAATGAATACCATAGATGGTGTAGAAACCAGCTTCGTTTACTTGTTCTCTTACCAGTGTATATCACCAATTAGATTTGCTTCTTCCATTTAAGATTGGCATTTGACAAAGCTTGTTTTCTGCCGGAACCCAATGAAGCTCTCCGTGAGGAACACACCATTTTAAGTATAGTACCTCTAGTTGACTCAAAGACATTGCAGTCTTCACTTTCAGTGTGAAAACATGTAACCGCACTACTGTTATTGCCCACATATAGAAGGGCAAAATGGCAATGTTCATATAGTAGAAACTCAAACTTTGGTGTTATGTGTTGAATTCCAAATTTTGTTTAGGACAATAGTAACTTTTGTTTTAATGTTCTAATAGGAGATGTATCTGCAAAGTCTTTTTACACCAGGACAATTCACAAATGAAGCTTTATGTAAGGCTTTACAGGTCAGCAAAAAAAATTTACTGTTTGTTTAAGACTATTTCTTATTTTATTACTGTATATAATTACTATTAAGTTTTTGCATATATTAAACACTGAATGTACTTCTGTATTCATACATATGTGTGTTTGTAAATACTTTTATAATTTTTTTAATGTTCTTTCCATTAAATACAGTATTCATGGTGGAGAGGTTGGAGGGGGGACCACTTTCCCAGTAATCAGTGACACATGCCAGAGTTAGAAAGAGAAACCTCTACCTACAGTACTGTAAAAAGATACCATACTGCACTGTATAGAATCTCTGTACTTGAGAGAAACTTAAAGTGGTTTTTTGTTTAGTTTTGGTTATACTGTTTTAACCTTTTTATTAGGACAGTGAAGGTCTGACTTGGTTCAGATTCAAGAAAACTCTAGGCCGGGCGTGGTGGCTCACGCCTGTAATCCCAGCACTTCGGGAGGCTGAGGCAGATGGATCACGGGGTCAAGAGATCGAGACCATCCTGGCCAACATGGTGAAACCCCGTCTCTACTAAAAATACAAAAATTAGCCGGGCGTGGTGGCACACGCCTATAGTCCCAGCTACTCGGGAGGCTGAGGCAGAAGAATTAATCTCTTGAACCCGGGAGGCAGAGGTTGCAGTGAGCCAAGATTGCGCCACTGCACTCCAAACTGGCGGCAGAGTGAGACTCTGTCTCAAAAAAAAAAAAAAAAAAAGTTTTTGGCTTCAAATTCATTGTATAAGAGAAGCCCAGTGCTTTACAAAAGGATTCTTTGGCCAACGGTAGTGACTCACACCTGTAATCCCAAAATTTTGGGAGGCTGAAGAGGGAAGATCACTTGAGCCCAGGAGTTTGAGAGCAGCCTGGGCAACAGAGGGAGACCCCATCTCTAAAAAAAATAATAATAATAGAAAAATAGCCAGGTGTGGTGGCATGCACCTGTGGTCCCAGCTACTCAGGAGCCCTAGGTTGGAGGACTGCTTTAGCCCAGGAGGTAAAGGGTATGGTGAGCCTTGATCATGCCACTGCATTCCAGCCTGGGAAACAGAGTGACACCCTATCTTAAAAAAAAAAAAAAAAACTGAAAGGATTTTTTAAGGTTACAAAGGCTTCTGGCTGGGTGCAGTGGCTCACACCTGTAATCTCAGCACTTTGGGAGGCCAAGGGGGTGGATTGCTTGAGCTCAGGAGTTCAAGACCAGCCTGGGTAACATGGCAAGATTCCCATCTCTATTAAAACAACAACAAAAAGTTACATAGACTTTTTTTTTTTTTTTCCCTTTGAGGCAGGGTCTCGCTCTGTTGCCCAGGCTGGAGTGCGGTGGCACGATCTTGGCTCACTGCAACCTCTGCCTCCTGGGTTCAAGTGATTCTCCTGCCTCAGCCTCCCAAGTAGCTGGGACTACAGACGCATGCCACCACACCCGGCTAATTTTTGTAGTTTTTAGTAGAGACAAGGTTTTGCCATATTGGCCAAGCTTGTCTCGAACTCCTGGCCTCAAATGATCCACCCGCCTCAGCCTCCCAAAGTGCTGGGATTATAGGCATGAGCCACCACACCCAGCTTGCATAGGCTTCTTTAAATTACTACTTAGCTTCATGGATGGATTTAAAATACAATAACTCATATAATTGAAAATTATATTAGAATATTTTAGACTGACCTCCCACATAAAACAGAAATGCCTTCTGAGGCTTTTGTGATAGTTATTCAGCCTTTAATTGTCTCTACCTCCACTGACCACTTTGTCACTACCTCTTGTGGGAGTTATTATTCCCAAACTGTGTCATTGAAAAGGAAGCCTCTCTTCTATAAATCAACCCTTCAAGTATTTTAAGAATCTTTCCAGGTCACCTTTCTCCAGACTAAATACACCCAGTTTCTTAACTTTCTCTTGGGTGATGTGTGTTCCAGGTATGCCAAATCTCTATTATATAGTTTTATATTGCCTCTATGTCTTCTAAACTGAAACGTTTTCCATTCAGTTTTGGCTATTATATAGAAGTCTAAAATGTCTTTTAATGTTAGATTTTCTGCCGAGGAACTGAGAGGAATTTGGATCTTTCCTGGAGTGAACTGAAGAAAGAAGTTACTTTAGCTGTTGAAAATGAGGTGAGGCTTGGGTAGAGAAAGAATAAGAATTCCTTCCATCTTGATATAGGGCAGATTGGTACTGACCGAGGAATTACTGGAATTCTTCACTTGACCTTGTTTGTTGGAACATATAAATGTTTAAACCTTTTAACTAGAGAATCAGATACACATTTGCATAGTCTATGGCCTTTAATACGTAAGGAATATTCATTTGGCTGTAGCTTAGTATAATGATATTGGACAATTATGTTTTTTGTGGACAAAGATCCTGAATGGCATCAAAAGTTTAATTTCTTTCATTTCTTCTTTGCCAGCTTCAAGGAAGTGTAACAGAGTATGAATTCTCCCAGGAGGAGTTTCGAAATTTACAACAAGAATTCTGGTGCAAGTTCTATGCCTGTTGTCTTCAGTATCAAGAAGCCCTCTCTCACCCTCTTGCCCTACATTTGAATCCACACACAAACATGGTGTGCCTGCTGAAAAAAGTAAGTGAGCTAAAGCATAGAGAAGACCTTCTTGAGACAGTTCAGTGGCTGTTATAACAAAATGCCTTCAGAAAACAAAAAGTTCAGTGGCTCTTGCCGAATGTTAGTCTGGTGAATGTTGCGGTTAGCATTTAGGACTTTGCATTTGTATTTTTTCCCCTAAAATTGTGATTCATTCATTTAAATAGTTTTCTGTGTTATTCTCTATACTTTTTTTGTATTTTATTGTATTTATTTCTTTTTCTTTTTTTCTCTTTTTTTGAGTTGGAGTCTTGCTCTGTCACCCAGGCTGGAGTGCAGTGGTGTGATCTCAGCTCACTGCAACCTCCGCCTCTGGGATTCAAGCAATTCTCCTGAGTACCTGGGACTACAGGTGTACACCATCACACCCGGCTAATTTTTGTATTTTTAGTAGAGGTGGGGTTTCATCATATTGGTCAGGTGGGTCTTGAACTCCTGTCCTTAGGTGATTCACCCGCCTCAGCCTCCCAAAGTGTTGGGATTACAGGCGTGGGCCACCACACCCGGCCTATTTACTTTTTATATTGAAGTAATTTCCAACTTAAGGTAAGAGTTACAAGAATAGCACAAAGAATTCCTGTATACCCTTCATCTGGATTCATCATTTGTTAACTTCCATATGCTTTTCTTCTTTCTCTAAACAGTTTTTCCTGAACTACTGAGAAGTTAGTTGTAGATATCATGCTCCTTTATCCTTAAATATCCTTAAATATTTCAGCATGTATCTAAGAACACAGATATTAAATAACCACAGCCCAATTTAAAAATCAGGTTATTTGATATTGACATAATATTATACAGCTTATATTCAAATTTTGCCAAATATAACATATATATATATATAGTTTATATTCAGATTTTGCCAATTGTGCCCATAATTTTTTTTCCTGATCCAGGATCCAATCTTTTTTTTTTTTTTGAGACAGTCTTGCTCTGTCGCCCAGGCTAGAGTCCAGTGGTGCAATCTCGGCTCACTGCAACCTCCGCCTACTGAGTTCAAGCGATTCTCCTGCCTATCCTCCAGAGTAGCTGGGATTATAGGCACGCGCCACCACACCTGGCTAGTTTTGTATTTTTAATAGAGACGGAGTTTCGCCATGTTGTGACCAGGCTGGTCTCAAATTCCTGGGCTCAGGTGATCCGCCCACCTTGGCCTCCCAAAGTCCAGGATCCAATCTAATATATGTATTTAGTTATTGTGTCTCTTTAGCTTAACCTCAAACTGTTATCAGCGTTTCTTTGTCTTTCATGAGAATGATGTTATTTGAAGACTATGCTTGTTTCTTTTTTTTGTTTGTTTGTTTGTTTGTTTGTTTGAGGCAGGGTCTTGCTGTGTCACCCAGGCTGCAGTACAGTGGCACTCTTTTTTTTTTTTTTTTTTTTTTTTGAGACAGAGTCTCGCTCTGTCACCCAGGCTGGAGTGCAGTGGCACGATCTCAACACACTGCAACCTCTGCCTCCTGGGTTTATGCCATTCTCCTGCCTCAGCCTCACCAGTAGCTGGGACTACAGGCGCCCGCCACCACACCTGGCTAATTTTTTGTATTTTTAGTAGAGACGGGGTTTCACCGTGTTAGCCAGGATGGTCTCGATCCCCTGACCTCGTGATCCACCCACTTCAGCCTCCCAAAGTGCTGGGATTACAGGCGTGAGCCACTGCGCCCGGCCCAGTGGCACTCTTAAGGCTCACTGCAGCTTCAACCTCCCAGGCTCAGGTGATCCTCCCACCCCAGCCTCCCTAGCAGCTAGAATTAAAGCTGTGTGCCACCACACTTGGCTAATTTTTTTTTTTTAGAGATGGGGTTTCATCATGATGCCCAGGCTGGTCTTGAACTCCTTGGCTCAAGTGATCCTCCCACCTCAGCCTCCCAAACTGCTGGGATCACAGATGTGAGCCACTGTGCCCAGCCAAGACTTACACCTATTATTTTATAGAGTGTATTGCAACTTGGGTTTGCCTCATGATAAGATGCACATCTCAATTATTTTATACCTTTAAAATTTTACTGACAAAAATGTAACTGGAAAATTTGTATTTCCAGGGGTACCTGTCTTTCCTTATTCCCTCATCCTTAGTGGATCATTTGTATCTCCTGCCTTATGAGAACCTTTTGACAGAAGATGAGACAACCATATCTGATGGTAATAGTAATTGTTATGTCCATATTTAATCCCCTTCCTATATAAACCCTATGCTTCGTTTCACATGGATACAAAAAATATCGATTGCCACACCTGTCTTGGTCACTTTACCACACCACAAATATTTTAATGAACACTTAAGAGACCAAAGCATCTCTGAGACCTCAGATAGATTTCTTGTCATTTAATTATTAACATTTTAATGTAATATCAATCAATAGATTGTCATTGGCTTAAGACATAAATGTTAACTTTCTCTTATTTGTAGATGTGGACATCGCTCGGGATGTCATATGTCTTATAAAATGCCTCCGGCTGATTGAAGAGTCAGTAACTGTGGATATGTCAGTTATAATGGAAATGAGTTGTTATAACCTACAGTCTCCGGAAAAGGCTGCAGAGCAGATTCTGGAAGATATGATCACTATTGATGTGTAAGGAGAATTAGGGTAAAGTGCATTTCCTAATGGAAATTCAGCATTTTTAGCGCCAAAGTTGGAATTTTAATGTATGTTCCAGAGCGTACAGAATAGTAGCTTAAAGTCAAACTGATGCGCCATGATTCTAAGTACATATTTCTACTTTTAACAGAAAATTTAACACGACTTCAAGTCTAGAAATAGACTTATAAAATATGCTTTAACAATTAACCGAGCTAAAAATTCTAAAAAGCAAAAGTGTTCTTCTCATGTTTGTTTTGTGTGTTGTTTATGAAAAACTGAGAGGAAATTTGCTATGCATAGGGACTGTATCTTATATGCCAGAGTGATTATCTTCATTCCTTTATCTGGTTCTCTTGTTTCATAATGTATTTAGCTTATAGGACATATAGAACTTGCCTTACGTATTCTCGGTAGTAATAAGAGTTTTGTAATTGTCCTTATAGAGAAAATGTGATGGAGGATATTTGTAGTAAACTGCAAGAGATTAGGAACCCAATCCATGCAATTGGACTACTTATACGGGAAATGGATTATGAAACAGAAGTGGAAATGGAAAAGGGATTCAATCCAGGTAAATGACAGAACAACAAATGTGCCTCTTTGATTAAAACAATGATGCATTCAACTCCATTTTTCTTCTTTTTACAGCTCAGCCTTTGAATATTCGAATGAATCTTACCCAGCTCTATGGTAGTAACACAGCAGGGTATATTGTGTGCAGAGGGGTGCATAAAATCGCCAGTACTCGTTTCCTGATCTGCAGAGATCTTTTGATCTTACAGCAGCTGTTAATGAGGCTTGGAGATGCTGTAAGTACTGCTTGAGGGAAAACTTGTAAAATCTAAAACCTGTTATAGGCCTACAAGCACTTAGGAGCAAAATGTCAGCCCTACTAGCACAGATACTTTTGTCTTGGTTCACTGCTTTATTCTCCCAAGCTTGGCCTTATGAGATGCTCTATAAATATTTTTGAATTAAGAATGAATAAGCATTGTAATCCTTGTGAGAGTATAGATTAAGAGCATATATGGAGGGGACGGTGGGGAGGGAGAACATCAGAAAGAATAGCTAATGGATCCTGGGCCTAATACTTAGGTGTTGGGTTGATCTGTGCAGCAAACCATCATGGCACACGTTTACCTACGTAACAAACCTGCACATCCTGCCCATGTACCCTGGAACTTAACAGTAGATTTTAAAAAACATACATGAAGCAGATTGCTTTACTCTTAACCTTTGTATGTGTAGTAGTGGAAAATTTTCCCAAGTTGGCTCTCCCAAAATGTAGTATTATTAGTAACTATGAATGTGGTAAGCATACCCTTTAGTATGGAGGAAGAAAAAGAAAACTCTTTTTTTTTCCTGTCTCTCTCTCTTTTTTTTTTTTTCTTGAGACAATCTTGCTCTGTTGCCCAGGCTGGAGTGTGGTGGCCTTATCTCAGCTCAAGCAATTCTCCTGCCTCAGCCTCCTGAGTAGCTGGGATTACAGGTGCGTGCCACCGTGTCCGGCTAATTTTTGTATTTTTAGTAGAGACAGGGTTTCACCATGTTGACCAGGCTGATCTTAAACTCCTGACATCAGGTGATCCACCTACCTCGGCCTCCCAAAGTGCTGGGATTACAGGCATGAGCCACCTTGCCCAACCTAAGAACTCTCTACAGTGCAAGGCTTACCCTAAACACAGTTTTGAGATGCAGGTTTATCTTTGTGGTCCTCCTAACTCTATTCTGTGCTTTCTTTTTCATTCTGTTCTTCTTAGACCACCAGACTCTTGTTGCTAATATATAGTCCTAATCACCCACCCTACTGAATGTCCCATGCTAAGAAATTATTTTTCTCCCCACAGTCAGACATCCCATTTTTTTCTAAGTCAGTAATCTCATTTGAGCCTGTCAAAGAAGGAATCTAATTAAACCAATTCATATTAATGTGTAAATAGCCAAAAGTCCTTTGGGGCTCCCATTTTAATTCTGACTTAAAATGTATAAATGTACTTATACATTTTAAGTCAGAATGTATTAACTCAGGCTGGGCACAGTGGCTCACACCTGTAATCCCAGCACTTTGCGAGGCTGAGGTGGGCAGATCACTTGAGGCCAGGAGTTCGAGACCAGCCTGGCCAACATGGCCAAACTCCATGTCTATTAAAACAAAAAAGTTAGCGGGGTCTGGTGGCACACTCCTGTAATCCCAGCCATTCAGGAGGCTAAGGCATGAGAATTACTTGAACCCAGGAGGCAGAGTTTGCAGTGAGGCAAGATTGCACCACTGCACTCCAGCGTGTGTGACAGAGCGAGATTCTGTCTCCAAAAAAAAAAAAAAAGAAATTATAAACCCAGATACATCGCTAATGGTAGAATTTCAAGCAAGAGTAAGAAAAAGGCCAGATGTGGTGGCTCATACCTATAGTCCCAGCACTTTGGGAGGCCAAGGTGGCCTGGTTGCTTGAGCCTAGAAGTTTGAGACCAGTCTGGGCAAACCCTCATCTCTACAAAAAAATACAAAAATTAGCCGGGCATGGTGCAGCAAGCCTGTAGTCCTTGCTACTTGGGAGGCTGAGATGGGAGAATTACCTGAGCCTGGGAGGTTGAGGCTGCAGTGAGCTGTGATTGCGCCATTGCACTTCTGCCTGCATGACAGAGTGAGACCCTATCTCAAAAAAAAGAAAAAAAAAATTGGGAAGATAATTTGTTTAAGATCACCAAGTTGAAAAATGAACCTTTCCTGAAAGTCTGTTAGGTTGGTTAGCCTTTACTAAGTTCTTTTTGATCTATGTAGATTCTTCCATTTTTTTCAGGTTTTTTGTTTTTTAAATTATAACTTTTGTCAATTTTTCTGAACACAGAAGTAATAAGATATTCATTGTAGAACCTTTACAAAATATATATAAGCAAAAATTTAAAAAATTTATAATTTTCTACCCAGTGATTACTACTTAAATTTTGCTATATACGTTTTTTTCCATGCACATTCTTTTTGGTTTGTTTGTGAAATTTAAATAAACTACATAGTATTTTTTGTAATCTGGTTGTTCTGTTCTTCCACTTTATAAATCTCAACATTTTTCTTTTTGTTGCCAGTTTTTCCTTTATGTCCATAATTTTCCGCACATCTTTTTTTTTTTTTTTTTTTTTTTTGAGAGTCTTGCTCTGTAGCCCAGGCTGGAGTGCAGTGGTGCAATCTGCAACCTCCGCCTCCTGGGTTCAAGAAATTCTCATATCTCAGCCTCCCAGGTAGCTGGGATTACAGATGCGCACCACTACACCAGCTAATTTTTATATTTTTAATAGAGATGGGGTTTCGCCATATTGGCCAGACTGGTCTCGAACTCCTGGCCTCAAGTGATCTGCCTGCCTCAGCCTCACAAAGTGCTGGGATTACAGGTGTCAACCACCGTGCCTGGCCACTTTCTGTACATCTTTAATTATATCTCTAGAATAAGTTCTAAAAACTAGAATTTGGTCTACAGGTAATGCACATTTTAAGGCTTTTGGTAGTACTGCCAAATTTGCTTATAATAATGGTCATACCTGTTTTTTTACCCAGCACCAGCAGTATATGAGAGAATTTAGATTTCCCTGTGTCTCTTCAATTCTTTTTTTTTTTTTTTTTTTTGAGACAAGTTCTCACTTCTGTTGTGCCCAGGCTGAAGTGCAGTGGCTCAATCTCGGCCCACTGCAGCCTTGATTTCCTGGGCTCAGTTCAGCTTCCTGAGTACCTGGGACTACAGGCACATACCACCACTCAGGCTAATTTTTTTTTTTCTTTTTTAAGACGGAGTCTTGCTCTGTCACCCAGGCTGGAGTGCAGTGGCGCGATCTCAGCTCACTGCAACATCCGCCTCCTGGGTTCAAGCGATTCTCCTGCCTCAGCCTCCCAAATAGTTGGGAATACAGGCGCCCACCACCATGCCTGGCTAATTTTTGTAATTTTTACTACAGACGGGGTTTCACTGTGTTGTCCAGTCTGGTCTCGAAATTTTGGGTCAAGTGATCTGCCTGCTTCAGCCTCCCAAAGTGCTGGGATTACAGGTGTGAGCCACTGTGCCTGGCCCTCTTCTTTAATTCTGAACCCACAGATTTAATGAAAGTTAAGCTTTTTATTGTTGGTTTCTTTTCATCATGAGCTTCCGTTACTTGGTGAGCTGTTTTTGATTATTTTTTGACTGTTAATGTTTGGGAAGATATTTTGCCACTTGCTACCGTAAAATGTAAAACGTGTTGCTTTTACAGTATTGTGACCTTTGTATTTGTTATTTTATTTTACCTCCACCTGAGCCGTAAGAGTTACCATTACTAATTGCTATAATTTCTTGTCTGGTCCACCTACCCATAATGTATAGGTGATTTGGGGAACTGGTCAGCTCTTTCAAGCTCAGCAAGACCTACTACATCGAACAGCTCCCCTACTCTTATCTTATTACCTCATTAAATGGGGAAGTGAGTGCTTGGCAACTGATGTTCCACTTGACACACTGTGAGTTTCATTATCCCAATTATTTAAAATGTAAATTGTGAGTTTAATTATTTTTCCCCTTGTCTTAAAGGGAAAAAGTTTTAGTGTTTTGTTTTTGTTTTTGTTTTTGTTTTGAGACAGAGTCTCGCTCTCTCTCACCCAGGCCGGAGTGCAATGGCATGATCTCGGCTCACTGCAACCTCCGCCTCCCAGGTTCAAGTGATTCTTCTGCCTCAGCCTCCCAAGTAGCTGAGATTTCAGGCACCTGCCATCATGCCCAGCTAATTTTGTACTTTTGTAGAGATGGGGTTTCACCATGTTGGCCAGGCTGGTCTCAAACTCCTGACCTCAGGTGATTTGCCTGCCTTGGCCTCCCAAAGTGCTGGGATTACAGGCGTGGGCCACCACGCCAGCCGGGAAAAAGATTTTTAACAGGATGCCGTAAAATTATATGCCATTAAGATTCAGAGAGCTTTTTGGTGCCTTTATTTGTTACAGGTTGAAGGCAACTTATAAGAATGAAAATAAGTCACATGTAATCATAGACTGTATGTATGTGTACAAATAAATTATGTATTATACTTATGTACTACACGTTTGTGTGTACATATAAATTATGTTGAATATAAAATACGATGAAACCAGAAGGAAAGACCATACACAAAATGTTACGCTTGTTACTTTAGGTAGGCTGAGCTTCTTTATAGCCAAATCCAAGAATTACAAGATTCACTTTTTTTTTTTTCTTGGAGATGGAGTTTCGCTCTTGTTGCCCATGCTGGAGTGCAATGGTGCGATCTCGGCTCACTGCAACCTCCACCTCCCTGATTCAAACAATATTGCTGCCTCAGCTTCCAGAGTAGCTGAGTTTAGAGGCGCCTGCCATCACACCTGGCTAATTTTTGGTATTTTTAGTAGAGGTGGCGTTTCACCATGTTGGCCAGGCTGGTCTTGAACTCCTGACCTCAGGTGATCCACCCGCCTCAGCCTCCCATAGTGCTGGGATTACAGGCATGAGCCACCACACCCCGCCGAGATTCACATTTTCAATAAGATAAACCATCCTGTTTGCTCTGGCTCCTCATTGAAGGGTCACGAAGTGATATTATGGGCAACAATCTATATTATAATGATTTCCAATTTTTTTTGTGCTTTCAGTGGAGCTTTTATGTGCAATTTATTAATTAAATTGACAGTGTTCTTCGTAGAAGAGCTTGTAGAAGTAATGTTTAGCATAGGAGAATTTACTAAGCTGTCTTTTCCCCTTTTCTCACAGGGAGTCTAATCTCCAACACTTATCAGTACTGGAATTAACAGACTCTGGTGCTTTAATGGCAAATAGGTTTGGTAAGGAGTGGACTATGTACACATTTCATTTTAAACTGGGGATTTATTGCATATTCATTAAAGTGGTCTTTTGCCACCTTTGCCATAGAAAGGTTGGCTAGGCTCTTTGCTTTCAGAAGGCATGAGTAAGCTGTGGCCTGAGATCTCCGTTTGTGGCATGGGGTCTGTGAAACTGTAGTACCAGATCAGGCATATGTTAAGGATATGGTATATATATGTGTGTGTGTGTGTGTGTGTGTGTGTGTGTGTGTGTGTGTGTGTGTGTGTGTGTGTGTGTGTATAGCTGCTTTCCCATTCTGTTTTGATGCTCCAGTGATTAACAAAATCATTTAAAAATTTATTCGTTCATGGTAACTTTTGTAATCTTAGTCAACAGATATTTAAAAGTATCCCTCATGTTTGAAAACCATTATTCTGGAGAATTTATTTTGTATTGTTCTGGTATAAAAGTTGAAATCCTGGGGCTAATTGTATTTATCATGAAGAATTTCTAGGGAAGGCACTTAAGTCTTGTGAGATCAGTGAAAAGAAATGACTATAACTTTGATGTGAATGGTGTTTTTATTGCATTTTTATAGTGCCTCACAATTTACAGACTACTTTTATTTATATTGCCACTGGATATATACCCGTGATACATTTTCTGTTTTGAAGTGCTAAATTGTTTGTTACAAGCATAAAATGAATTGATAGACTATTTTAATTGAAAATTGATAATTACCACTACACAAAACTGTCATAACTTTTTCTTTTTAAGTATCTAGTCCTCAGACTATTGTGGAGTTATTCTTCCAAGAAGTTGCAAGAAAACACATTATATCTCACCTCTTCTCTCAGCCAAAGGCACCTCTGAGCCAAACTGGATTGAATTGGCCTGAAATGATTACTGCAATTACCAGTTATTTATTGCAGCTTTTGTATCCTTTTATTTAGAAGCCAGTGAAAAGCTCTCTTCTGGCCGGGCATGTTGGCTCACACCTGTAATCCCAGCACTTTGGGAGGTGGAGGCAGGTTTATCACTTATGGCCAGAAGTTCGAGACCAGCCTGGCCAACATGGTGAAACCCCACCTCTACTAAAAATACAAAAATTAGTCAGGCGTGGTGGCCTGCACCTGTAATCCCAGCTACTCGGAAGGCTGAGACTTGCTTGAACTTGGGAGGTGGAGGTTGCAGTGAGCCAAGCTCGCGCCACCACACTCCAGCCTAGGCGGCAGAGCAAGACTCCTTCTCAAAAAAAAAAGCAGCTCTCTTCTATCTAAATAGTCTAAGGTTCTTATTCTGCCTATGTAATGAAATACCTAGGTCTGTTTTAAGACATTATTCGGCCAGGCGCAGTGGCTCACGCCTGTAATCCCAGTACTTTGGGAGGCAGAAGCGGGCAGATCACGAGGTCAGGAGATCGAGACCATCCTGGACAACACGGTGAAACCCTGTCTCTACTAAAAATACAAAAAAAAATTAGCCAGGCATGGTGGCAGGCGCCTGTAGTCCCAGCTACTTGGAAGCTGAGGCAGGAGAATGGCATGAACCCAGGAGGCGGAGCTTGCAGTGAGCCGAGATTGCGCCACTGCACTCCAGTCTGGGCAACAGAGTGAGACTCCGTCTCAAAAAAAAAAAAAAAGACATTATTCATTTGGCTGGGTGCTGCAATGGCTCATGCCTATAATCCCAGCACTTTGGGAGGCCAAGGCGGGCAGATCACTTGAGGCCAGCAGTTCAAGACCAGCCTGACCAACATGGTGAAACCTCGCCTCTACAAAAAAATACTAAAATTAGCTGGGCTTGGTGGCATGCGTCTGTAGTCCCAGCTACTCAGGAGGCTGAGGGAGGAGAATCACTTGAACCTTGGAGGCAGAGGTTGCAGTGAGCTGAGATCATGCCCCTGCACTCCAGCCCTGGCGACAGAGTGAGACTCTGTCTCAAAAAAAAAAAAGACATTCATTCAACAAATATTTATTGAATGACTCTATATGCCAGGTACCATGTTATGTGCTGGATGTCCACTGGCACCAATACTGTGTTCTGCGGTACACCAGCTGGAATTGAAAATGAACACCCAGGAATGAAATACAGGCTTTTAAAAATTTATTTATTTTTAGAGACAGGACTCTTATGTGTTGCCCAGGCTGGTCTTGATTTCCTGGGCTCAAGCAGTCCTCCCACCTTACCCTTCCAAAGTACAGGGATTGCAGGAGTGAGCCACCGTGCCTGGTGAAATAGATGCTTTATTCCATAGTTATCTGAGTTCTAAGCACTATAACAAGTCTCCTGGTATAAAAGTAACTGTTTAACTGTATTCTAGTGATGATGAAAGAACATGTGGTTGGCCAACTTCTCTGCCTTGTTTATGTAAATTAAGCTATTTTATGGACTTTTCTGAATTTGATGCCCAATGTATATGTTTAAGATTTGCCAACAAAAATTAAGAAATATCCTTAACCAATGACTAGATGGCCTAGCAATCCTGGTTGTCTCTTTCTAGAATGTTTGATGGGAAATTGCCAATATGTACAATTGCAGGTGAGTTCCTTTGAACATTTCATGTCTACACATTCTTGTAAAGCATGGGATTGCTGAATTTTTTTCTTTGTAAATGTTAACTGCATTTTAAAGAACCACAATAATTTAAACTTGATTATGTGAAGACATACCCCAAAGAGATTGTTCTCTATTTCTATACCATCCTGAACTTGCTTGATTTTGTCTGATCTACGAAGCTAAATAGGGTTGGGCATGGTTAGTACTTGGCTGAGAGAATACCTGGTTCTAAAGGCTTTTAAAGAAAGTAATAAAATAAATTTTTAAAGAGAGAGATTTTTCTCTACTTCTCTCTGGACAGTATAATTCCTAACGTGATTTTTTCTAGAGTATCTTTTTTTTTTTTTCCTGAAACGGAGTCTCACTCTGTTGCCCAGGCTGGAGTGCAGTGGCATGATCTTGGCTCACTGCAGCCTCCACCTCCTGGGTTCAAGCAATTCTCCTGTCTCAGCCTCCCGAGTAGCTGGGATTACAGGCACGTGCCACCGCGCCCAGCTAATTTTTGTATTTTTAGTAGTGACTGGGTTTCACTATGTTGGCGAGGCTGGTCTCGAACTCCTGACCTCAGGTGATCCACCCGTCTCCCCAGAGTGCTGGGATTACAGGCATGAGCCACCGTGCCTGGCCTCTAGAGTGTCTTTTTAAGAATTTGTCTCTGCTAGGTTTTCTTCATAGTAATTCAAATGTACTATTGTTTTCATATAAATCCTTTACTGGAATCTAGTCATTGAACCAATAAATACCAAAAATTGGAAAATTGCTGAGATGTAAAGTATGTGTATGTGTGTTACTGGACTCCTGTTTGTGTAAGGAAAGGGGGAATGGATGAAGAAGGAAGGCAACAGGGGTAGGTTTTAATATCAGAATTATGTCAGGAAATAAAACATTTGTTCAAACACTGTCTTTTCATCCTCTGTGACGAATAACTTGGGAATGAGTATCTCCTTAAGTAACATTTATTTTCTAATCAGAAAGCACCTTTTATGCCTTTAAGGATTATATTCAACTGCTACATCCCTGGTGTCAAGTCAATGTTGGTTCCTGTCGATTTATGCTGGGAAGGTGTTACCTAGTTACAGGAGAAGGACAGAAGGTAAACTACATTTGAATGGCAAATAAACTTTATAAACTTTAACGCAAGGAAGTTGCTTAGCTTCCATTTGACTAGGTTTTAGGGGATGGGAGACATAGAATCCTCTACATAAAGTTAAAGAAGACTGTACTAATGCCAGTCAAAGGCATTATATACATGTAAGGACTACTTTCTTGTATTCTGCAATTTAGATAGGACTCAGGAACATAAGAAAATATTAGAACTCTCCTGCCCCTGTGTGTTTTTAGAGATTCCTTTTATTATTATTATTATTATTATTATTATTATTATTATTTTGTAAAATCAGGGTCTCACTATGTTGCACAGGCTGGACTCAAGCGATCCTCCCACCTTGGCCTCCCCCAGTGCTGGGATTACAGGCATAAGCCACCGCGTTTGGCCAGGATACATTTTTATAAATCAAACTTATTTACTTATTTTATTATTTCTTTTAGACAGGGTCTTGCTCTGTCACCCAGACTGGAGTGCAGTGGTGTAATCAACAGCTCACTGCTGCCTCAACCTCCTGGGCTCAAGTGATTCTCCTACCTCAGCCTCTCAAGTAGCTGAGGTACTTGGAGGCTACAGGCGTGAGCCACCATTCCTGGCTAATTTTTTAATTTTTTGTAGAGATGGGGTTTTCCCATGTTGCCCAGGCTGGTCACGAACTCCTGGGCTCAAGTGATCTGCCCACCTCAGCCTCCCAAAGTGTTGGGACTACAGGCATGAGCCACTGCACACAGCCCAAATTTACTTATTAATTACATTTTTTTTATTGTTTTATGCTGCTTTTTTCTCGTTATGTAGTTTAAAGTTTTAATTTTTTCCCTGATGTTCTATTACATAAATTTTCAAACAGACAGGAAAGTTTAAAGACTTTTTACAGTGAACAGTATATACCTATCACTCAAATTCTACAATTGTTAACATATTGCTACAGTTGCCTTATTATGTATGTATGTGTCAATCATCTTATTAAGGTTTACTTTCTTTTTTTTTTGGAGACAGTCTTGCTCTGTCACCCAGGCTGGAAGGCTAGACTGCAGTGGCATGATCTTAGCTCACTGCAACCTCCGCCCACCAGGTTCAGGCGATTCTGCTGCCTCAGCCTCCTGAGTAGCTGGGATTACAGGTGCACGCCACCACGCCCGGCTAATTTTTGTGTTTTTAGTAGATATGGAGTTTCACCGTGTTGGTCAGGCTGGTCTCAAACTCCTCACCTCGTGATCCACCCGCCTCAGCCTCCCGAAGTGCTGGGATTACAGGCGTGAGCCACCCCACCCGGCCAATGTTTACTTTTTAATTGGTAGCACTTAAGTGTGAGATACATTTTTAAAAATATGAATGCATCACATAGAATTCATATGTGTCAGAAACTATACATAGAGTAGACCATGTTAAGTAATCTTGTTTCTTTTTTGGCTTTCCCTTACATGTGAACCCCTGATTCATAGCACCTAGAATTTGAATGATCTGTTACAAGTCATTTTATATTTTATTTCTCCAGGCTCTGGAATGTTTTTGTCAGGCAGCATCTGAAGTAGGCAAAGAGGAATTCTTGGATCGCTTGATTCGCTCAGAGGATGGGGAGATCGTGTCTACCCCCAGGCTGCAGTATTATGACAAGGTACATCATGTCTTGGTTTGGCCTTATACCACCCTGTGTAAAAACACATCTGAAATACATTGCTTTGCTATTTTTGGAGAAAAATACTATAAAAATTCAGTTGCTCCCTGAACTTCCAAATTTAAAAAAAATGAATTTGCCTAGAGAAATTAAAGAAACATGGCCGGGCACGGTGGCTCATGACTGTAATCCCAGCACTTTGGGAGGCCAAAGCAGGCAGATCACCTGAGGTCAGGAGTTTGAGACCAGCCTGGCCAACATGCCAAAACCCTGCCTCTACTAAAAATACAAAAATTAGCCTGGCGTGGTGGCGGGTGCCTGTAATCCCACCTACTTGGGAGGCTGAGGCAGGAGAATCACTTGAACTTTGAGGTGGAGGTTGTAGTGAGCCAAGATCGTGCCACTGCACTCTAGCCTGGGTGACAGAGCGAGACTCCGTCTCCAAAAAAAAACAAAAAGAAATTAAAGAAACATATTTTAAGTTAAAATTTTTTCCCAGGATCTATAATTAGGGTTAAATGGTGAAATGTAATAAATACTTTTAACTGAAATGAAATTTTCGTCATGGTATTTTATTAGCCCAGTTGCCATTAGAATTTTATTATTTAATTTGCACTTTACTAGTCTTGCTGATATTTCTGGGAATTGACTAGTAATGCTGTATTTAGCCTTAGTTTATAATTTGGACTTGAGGGTCCTCTTGACCTGTTTCCTGCCCCTCTTTCCTCTGGTCACTCCATTGTAACAATGGTGACCTTCTTACTGTCTCATTCAAGTCAAGCGCATGCTCTATTCTCTTAGGGCCTTTCTGCCTGCTGTTCTGTCAGCCTGAAATGCCCTTCCTCACACCCTCATTCCATTCAGGTCTCTGCTTATCTGTCACCTCCTCAGATAGTGCCCTCTGCCTGGCCTGTGCAGAAAAGCTTTTTTATTCATCCTGTTGTGCACACTTCCAGATTGTATAACATTTCACCATACTTGATTTTATATTTTAGACTAGAATTTATCTGGATTTCCCACCAGAAAGTAAATGCCACAGAAGCAGTCTTCACTGTTTTGTTAATTGCTTATTAGATAAATGAATTTACACTGAAGTAGATTTGTAGCTCTTAATAACCCTTGGCCGGACGCGATGGCTCACACCTGTAATCCCAGCACTTTGGGAGGCTGAGGTGGGCGGATCACGAGGTCAGTAGTTCGAGACCAGCCTGACCAACATGGTGAAACCCATCTCTACTAAAAGTACAAAAATTAGCCGGGCGTGGTGGTGTGCGCCTGTAATCCCAGCTACTTAGGAGCCTGAGACAGGAGAATCACTTGAACCCAGGAGGCGGCGGAGGTTGCAGTGAGCTGAGATCGTGCCACTGCACTCCAGCCTGGATGACAAAACAAGACTCCACCTCAAAAAAAAAAAAGAAAAAAACCCTCTACTTTCCTACTAATGACAATTCTTTTGAATTCCAGTACAGCCTGGGTGACAGAATGAGACCCTGTCTCAAAATTAAAAAAAAGTATTATGTGCTTTATATAATCGTATATACTATACTTTTTTTTTTTTCCTTTTTTTTTTGAGACGGAGTCTGTTGCCCAGTGCAGTAGTGCGATCTGGGCTCACTGCAACCTCCGTCTACCAGGTTGAAGCGATTCTCCTGCCTCTGTGTCCCAGGTAGCTGGGATTACAGGTGTGCACCACCACACCCCACTAATTTTTGTATTTTTGGTAGGGACAGGGTTTCACCATGTTGGCCAGGCTGGTCTCGAACTCCTGGCCTCTAGTGATCCACCTGCCTCGGCCTCCCAAAGTGCTGGGATTATAGGCATGAGCCACAGTGCCTGGCCATGCTGTACTTTTTATATGACTGGCAGCACAGTAGGTTTGTTTACACCAGCATCACCACAAACACGTGAGCGATACATGCGGTGGCTATGATGTCACTAGAAGATAAGAATTTTCCAGGTCCATTATAGTGGGTGCAGTGGCTCACGCCTGTAATCCCAACACTTTGAGAGGCTAAGGCAGGAGGATCACTGGAGCCTAGGAGTTTGAGATTAGCCCAGACAACATAGGAAGACCCCATCTCTACAAAAAATTAAAAAATTACCTGGGCATGGTGGTGCATGCCTGTGGTCCCAGCTGCTCAGGTGGCTGAGATGGGATGTTCACTTGAGCCCAGGAGGTCAAGGCTACACTGAGCTATGATCATGCCACTGCACTCCAGCCTGGGCAACAGAGCAGGACCCTGTCTCAAAAAATTAATAAAAATAATTTTAAAACTTTTTATTTTATCTTCATCCTTTATAAATGCGTATTTTGGATGTATCATACATATGTATTAGAGAATTGCACGTATATGAGATAGGGAAATGTGCATGGTTAGGGTAGCGGGCAGACGTTGACAGGGTGGACAATCAAAAATGTTTGTCAGGCCGGGCACAGTGGCTCACGCCTGTAACCTTAGCACTTTGGGAAGCTGAGGCAGGCAGATCACCTGAGGTCAGGGGATCAAAACCACTCTGACCACCATGGTGAAACCCCATCTCTACTAAAAACACAAAAATTAGCTGAACGTGGTGGGGCATGCCTGTAATCCCAGCTACACAGGAGGCTGAGGCAGGAGAATCACTTGAACCCAGGAGGTAGGGGTTGCAGTGAGCCGAGATCACACCATTGTGCTCCAGTCTGATTGACAGAGACCCTGTCTCAAAAAAAAAAAGGATTATGTCAGTCATTTAGTAAATTATCTTTAGGGTTTTTATAAAACTATGGTGTTTATTTACTATTCTTTACATTCATCTGTGACTTGAACAGTTAGTAGTGAAATCGTATTTATTCTTTCATTCAACAAGCTTGCTTTTTTTTTTTTTTTTTAATAATAGAGATGGGGTCTCGCCGTGTTGGTCAGAATGACAGGTGTGAGCCACCAGACCCAGCCTCAACAAGTATTTACGGAGAGACTACTGTATACTAGGCACTGAGGATAGAGACAGGGTCGTGCTATACCACCCAGGCTGAAATGCAGTGGCAGGATTAAAGTTCACTGCAACCTTGAACTCCTGGGTTCAAGCAGTCTTTCCACCTCAGCCTCCCAAGTCGCTACAACTACAGGCGCATGCCACCACACGCAGCTAATTTTTAAAAAAATTTTTTTGTAGAGATGGGGGTCTTGCCATATTGCCCAGGCTGGCCTTGAGCAATCCTGCTGCTTCAGCCTCCCAGAGTACTGGGATTGGAGGTGTGAGCCACCATGCCGGCCTACTTAACCTTTCTCAATAATTTTAAACCATAATTGAGTTTGAAGTACATTACAATATTAATTTTAATGGAAATTTCTTCTATTTCTCGTTAGGTTTTACGACTACTAGATGTCATTGGTTTGCCTGAACTGGTTATTCAGTTGGCTACATCAGCCATAACTGAAGCAGGTGATGACTGGAAAAGTCAGGTAAGAATTGGCTGCAATTTGGTTGTTTTCTTTAAGGTTTGTTGTGGGTGTGGTATGTTCATTTCTATTGCTCTTTTTGATATTTGATCTACATTTGATATTTAGGCTACTCTAAGGACATGTATTTTCAAACATCATTTGGATTTGGGTCACAATAGCCAAGCATATGAAGCCTTAACCCAAATTCCTGATTCCAGCAGGTAATTTCATGGCCTTTTTTAGAGAAGACAATTTACCAACTCTGTTTAACCTACTAAGATAGTTTGCCCTCATATTCCTTTCTTTCCTTCTAGGCAATTAGATTGTTTACGGCAGTTGGTGGTAGTTCTTTGTGAACGCTCACAGCTACAGGATCTTGTAGAGTTTCCCTATGTGAATCTGCATAATGAGGTAATTTTACTTATCCAGTGATGGCTTTCAACAAGTATGGTGGTTGCCATGATTGCTACTGACTTAGTTATCTGATTGCTTCCCCTTCCCTAGGTTGTGGGAATAATTGAGTCACGTGCTAGAGCTGTGGACCTTATGACTCACAATTACTATGAACTTCTGTATGCCTTTCACATCTATCGCCACAATTACCGCAAGGGTGAGCAATGTAACCAGACAGTATCTTGCAGACAGCCTTATTAGTTTAATCATGTTTTACCAAAATATTGTGTGTTGGACTTAGGTAATTTTTAATATGTGTTTAAGTACAAGATTAGCTTAAACCTTGTGAAGATTACCTTGAAGATAGGCCCTTGCTTCCATTCTAGAACTTTCTCAAGGCGTTGCCACTAAAATGGCATTCTGTGTGCATCTTCTGTACAATTATAAAGGAAATTAGCACTGGGCGCAGTGGCTTACACCTGTAATCCTAGCACTTTGGGAGGCCAAGGCAGGTGGATCACCTGAGGTCAGGAGTTCGAGACCAGCCTGGCCAACATGGCGAAACCCCTTCTCTACTAAAAATACAAAAATTAGCCATATGTGGTGGTGGGCACCTGTAATCCCAGCTACTCAGGAGGCTGAGGCAGGAGAATTGCTTGAACAGGGTGGGGCGGGGGGCGGAGGTTACAGTGAGCCAAGATCACGCCACTTCACTCCATCCTGGGCGAAAAGCAAAACTCCGTCTCATAAATAAATAAAGGAAATTAGCTTTTTCACTAGAGACAGCATGAATTTTTGAGACTGGGTTTGAGTTCCTGTGCTATTTCACCATTAGCCTTCTCCCTTTCCACATTTCAGTTCTTAGAGCAAAATTCTGACTGCTTAAATGTGCTTAGGTTATGAGTATAATAGATGATATTCCGCATTAGCTGTGGTTAGATTGTCCCACATCCCCTCAATTAAATGCAAAGTCCTTAAAGAGGGGACTAAAATTTACATTTAGGGTTGGGCGCGGTGGCCCACGCCTGTAATCCCAGTACTTGAGGAGGCTGAGGCAGGTGGATCGCTTAATGTCAGGAGTTCGAGACCAGCCTGGCCGACATGGTGAAATCCCCTCTCTACTGAAAATACAAAAAATAGCCGGGCATGGTGGCGGATGCCTGTAATCTCAGCTACTCTTGAACCCAGAAGGTGGAGGTTGCAGTGAGCCAAAATCATGTCACTGCACTCCAGCCTAGGTGACAGAGCGAGACCCTGTCTCAAAAAAAATTACATTTAGAAGTTATCAAATGATATCCTGGTGAATTCTTTTTTCTTCATTCAACTTTTTAATGTAAAATTTGTCAAGTCTACAGAAAAGTTAAAACATTAACGCAGTGAATATCACCCTATATACCTTTCATCCAAATTCCCCAACTGTTAATATTTTACATCATTTTCTTATCTCCTCTTCCCTCCTTTCCTTTCTTCCCCCTTCCTTCCTCTCTCTCTCAATATCTATTTATTTATTTACTTACTTGTTTGTTTTTGCTGGTCCTTCTGGGAGGAAGTTAAAGACATCATGATTTTTTTAATGTCATCAGTTATTTAATTAGGTTCTTCTTAAGACATTTAGAACAGCAATTTGTAAGGATAAATTCCATTTGTCAGGGCAAACACAGATCACAGGTAGCCCTGGAGCTAAGGAATAGCTTTGATTTTTGGTAAAATTTGTGAGTCCACAGCTTTCTGATTGATCCTACTGTGCTCTGTAATCTCGTATTTCTCTTTTTCTGTGTGGAAGATCTCACCTTCCTGGTGTCTGGGCTTCCGCAGCTGCTCCTTTTTTTTTTTTTTTTTTTTTAGATGAAGTCTCACTCCGTTGCCCAGGGTAGAGTGCAGTGGCACCGTGTCTGCTCACTGCAACCTCCACCTCCCAGGTTCAAATTATTCTCCTGCCCCAGCCTCCCGAGTAGCTGGGATTACAGGTGCCTACCACCACGCCCGGTTAATTTTTTTATATTTTTAGTAGAGACGGGGTTTCACCATGTTGGTCAGGCTGGTCTTGAACTCCTGACCTCAGGTGATCCACCCACCTCCATTTCCCAAAGTGCTGGAATTACAGCCGTGAGCCACTGCGCCTGGCCAATAATGTTTTTTATAGCGCATCCCTCACATACTGCCCTCACCCTGGATCTAGAATACACACTGCATTTAGTTGTGCGATGTCTTTAGGCTCCTTTAATCTGGAGCCTCACTTTGCCTTTGATGACATTGATATTTTTGAAGCATGTAGGTCAGTCATTTTTGTAGAATGTATCTTAATTTGGACTTACATTATCAATGAATTATTTATCAGAACAGCTAAAATGAACGGAATGTGAGCGGAATGTGAGATTGTTTTAAGATTATATTTTACAATATAATCACTGTGGAATGTCTAACATTTTTGTACCATTTTTACTTAGAATTTTCTTTGGTTTCTTGCTGATTTTCATTGGAAAAAAGTAGATGGGGTTTATTCATAGGCAGGTTCTTAACATTCCTAATAGTAAAACATATTTGCATATTCTTTATTTTCTTGAATCATATAGGAAGGGAAATAAAAATTATTAAAGATCTCTCAGTATCTGCTTTCACAATAACATTATATCAACCTGCTTAGTACCAGTTTAGCAAGATTAATGTTCAGGTTTTTCTAGAGCAAGGCTGTTCTTCTGAAAGCGCCTTACATATTGCAGGTATTCAAAAATATTTGTTGAAATGAAAAATAGCTTTATTTGAAAACTAAAAGAATTTTTAATGATATTTTAATTTCTGGAGTCCCATGCTGTTCCAGAACAATGGACTTTTCAGAATCTTATTGAATATGTGCAACTAAAGTATTATAAAAATGAGAATCTATGTTCTTTTTTTTTTGAGACAGTCTCACTCTATCGATCAGCCTGGAGTGCAGTGTCTCGATCTCGGCTCACAGCAACCTCCACTTCCAGGTTCAAGCAATTCTCCTGCCTCAGCCTCTCAAGTAGCTGGGATTACAGGCACCTACCACCATGCCCAGCTAGTTTTTGTTTTGTTTTGTTTTTGTTTGTTTGTTTGTTTTCGAGACAGAGTCCCGCTCTGTCGTCTAGGCTGGAGTTCAGTGGCATAATCTCGGCTCACTGCAACCTCCGCCTTCCCAGGTTCAAGCGATTCTCCTGCCTCAGACTCCTGAGTAGCTGGGACTGCAGGCATGCACCACCACGCTCGACAATTTTTTTTGCATTTTTAGTAGAGAGAGGGTTTCACCATGTGTTGGTCAGGCTGGTCTTGAACTCCTGACCTCAAAATGATCCACCCGCCTCAGCTTCCCAAAGTGCTGGGATTACAGGCATGAGTCACCACACCCAGCCCCTAATTTTTGTATTTTTAGTAGAGACGACGTTTCACCACGTTGGTCAGGCTGGTCTTGAATTTCTGGACTTGGGTGATCTGCCCACCTCTGCCTCCCAAAGTGCTGGGATTACAGGCGTGAGCCACTGTGCCCAACTGTTTTTGTTTTTGAGACGGAGTCTCGCTCTGTCGCCCAGGCTGGAGTGCAGTGGCGCAATCTCGGCTCACTGCAAACTCCACCTCCCGGGTTCACGCCATTCTCCTGCCTCAGCCTCCTGAGGCTGCCACCATGCCTGGCTATTTTTTTGTATTTTTAGTAGAGACGGGGTTTCACCCTGTTGGCCAGGATGGTCTCGATCTCCTGACCTCATGATCCGCCCGTCTTGGCCTCCCAGAGTGCTGGAATCACAGGCATGAGCCACCGCGCCCGCTATCTTGACCATTTTTAAGTGTACAGTTTGGGAGTGTTAAGTGCATTCACAATATTGTGTAACCAATCTCCAGAACACTTTTCATCTTGCAAAACTGAAGCTATATACCCATTAAACAACTACTTGTTCCTCCCAACCCCGATTCCCTGGCAACCACCATTTTACCACCCATCTCTATGAATTTGGCTGCTTGAATCATATAGTATGTGTCTTTTTGTGACTGTCTTATTTCACCTAGCATAATGTCTTCAAGGTTCATCCTTGTAGTGGCGTCAGAATTTTCTTCTTTAAAAATGTCTTTAAAAATTAGCCAGGTGTGGTGGTGGGCGCCTGTAATCCTGGCTACTTGTGGGGCTGAGGCAGGAGAATCGCTTGAACCCAGGAAGCAGAGATTGCAATGAGCTGAGACCGCACCATTGCATGCCACCTTTGGCAACAAGAACAAAACTCCGTCTCAAAAAAAAAAAAAAAAAAAAAAAAAAAAAAAAAAACAGATATCTTACAGATAATTAAATGATTTTCTGTTGTATTTATATGTCAAATTTTGTTCATCCATCAATGGACACTTGGATTGCTTTCACCTTTGGCTATTGTGGATAATGCTGCTATGAACATGGGTGTAGAAATATCTCTTTGAGACCCCTCTTTTCATTCTTTGGGGTATATACCCAAAAGTGGAATTACTGAATGACATGATAATTTCACTTTTAATTTTTTGAGGAACTGCCATACTGTTTTCCATAGCAGCTGCACCATTTGACATTCCCAGCAACAGTACAAAAGGGTTCCAGTTTTTCCACATCCTCACCAACATGTGATTTTGGGGAGGGGGGGCAGGGGTTACATCAAACCCAATTTTGTTTTAAATTTTAACATTTGATTAGGGATAGCATTCTCCCTGCGTATCTCTAGAGAAACAAATTTTGGAAGGCTGGGTGTGGTGGCTCACACCTGTAATCCCAGCACTTTGGGAGGCTGAGGTGGGCGGATCACGAGGCCACAAATTCGAGACCAACATGGTGAAACTCTCTACTAAACTCTCTACCAAAAATACAAAAATTAGCCGGGCGTGGTGGTCGTGTGCCTATAATCCCAGCTACTCAGGAGGCTGAGGCAGGAGAATCGCTTGAACCAGGGAGGCGGAGGTTGCAGTGAGCTGAGATCAAGCCATTGCACTCCAGCCTGGGCGACAGAGCAAGACTCTGTCTCCAAAAAAAAGAAAAAAAAATTTGGAAGTTCTAAAGTCTAATTTATTATCTCCTCATAGCTGGCACAGTGATGTTTGAGTATGGAATGCGGCTTGGCAGAGAAGTTCGAACTCTCCGGGGACTTGAGAAACAAGGCAACTGTTATCTGGCTGCTCTCAATTGTTTACGACTTATTCGTCCAGAATATGCGTGGATTGTGCAGCCAGTGTCTGGTGCAGTGGTATGAAAACATTTCATCCTGGAATTTGGGGGTTCATCCTGGAACAAGTAAATCTACTTGTTTTGGTCCTTTCAAAACTATTGTGTCATTTTGCTTCTTTTGATTTACAATTTCTACTGAGATATTTGTGAAAAAAATCTATGTTTACAATTCAATTGTTGTATATTACTACCCCTTTAGTTTTCAAGTTCAGAATTATTGTAGGAAGAAATATTGCAGAGTGGTTTTGGAGTTAGACCTGACCCAATTCAGACAAGTTACTTAATCTTTTGTCATTCTCTGGCATAAAATACGGATAATATCTACTTTATAGGATTGTTTGGGTATTAATGAGATAATTCAAGTCGATTGCTTAGAACAGTAACAGTGCCTGGCCCACAAACTGTGCTCAGTAAATGGTAGCTGCTTTTATTTCTATTGTGTTTGTTAATGCAGTCTACAGTTACTGTTTTAAAGGACACACACTTTGAGTTTTTCCTATCATACTGATGGGTCAGATACATGCAGCTGTTTCTGTTATATATAACTCTGGAGCCGAGAAAAATTAGTTGATTTACATGGAGATCAAATCCCTGTCCTTGGACTCAGTAATATGTTATGGTTAAGTTAACAACTTGGCAAAGAACTTCTTTCTTTGTCTCATAGTTACAGTACCTCTGTAAGAAGAGCTCTGCTGGTCGAAACAAAAATAATTTCCATTGAGAAAATTTAAGCATAAAAGCTATGAATCACCGTTAATGATATCAGAATAAAATACTGATTTTCACAGTTAAATTGCTTGTTTTGTTTTATCAGTATGATCGCCCTGGAGCATCCCCTAAGAGGAATCATGATGGAGAATGCACAGCTGCCCCCAGTGAGTCAGGAGTCTCACACTGGTTCTTTGCTAGACAGTAGTAATGTTGTTATTGTTAGTTGTATTATGATAGAAATATGTAGTTAAATAAGCTACATATAATAGTAATATATAAATGTTATAGTAGTAACAGTTGCCCTTGTAAAACACAAGTTTTAACTGCAGGCACCTATTATACACAGATTTTTGTTTTCAATAAGTATATTGGATTCTTTTTCTGGAGATTGTCACAATTTGAAAAAACTCCCAGTTGAACCACATAGCCTAGAAATATTGAAAAAGTTAAGGAAGCCGGGTGTGGTGGCTCACACCTGTAATCCCAGCACCTTGGGAGGCCGAGGCAGGTGGATCACCTGAGGTCAGGTGTTCAAGACCAGCCTGGTCAGTGTGGCGAAACCCCATCTCTACTAAAAATACAAAAATTAGCTGGGCAGTAGTGGCCCTCACCTGTAATCCCAGCTACTCAGGAGGCTGAGGCAGGAGAATTGCTTGAATCCAGGAAGCAGAGGTTGCCGTGAGCACACATCGTGCCACTGCACTCCAGCCTGGGCAACAGAGTAAGACTCCGCCTCAAAAAAAATAATGTTTAGTGGGACCCATACGAAGTGTCACTAGTGACGCTGGAAGTGCTCCCAAAGAGCAGAAAAAAGTCATAACATGACAAGAAAGAGTTGAACTGCTTGATGTCTACTGTAGATTGAGGCCGGCAGCTGAGGTTGCCTGCCATTTCAAGAAAAATGAATCCAGTGTAAGGAACATTGTAAAAAAAAAGAAGAGAAAATTTGTGAAGCTGTTGCTTCAGCTTCGCCAGTAGGTACAAAAACCTTGTGCTTTTTGCAAAATATATTTTTATCTCATATTGAAAATCCAGCTTTTATGTGGGTACAGTATTGCTATAAAAAAAGGCATATCTATAGACTCTAACATGATTTGCAAAACAAAGGTTATTATACAACAACTTAAAGCAAAAGGAAGGTAAAAGATCTAAAGCTGGAGAATTTAATGCCAGCAAAGGATGGTTTGACAATTTAAGAAAGAGATATGGCTTTTAAAATGTCAAGATACAGGAGAAGCAGCTTCTGCTGACCAAGGAGCAGCAGAAGAGTTCCCAGACACCATTAAGGAAAATCACTGAGGGGAAAGGACACTTGCCTAAACCTGTTTGTTTTTGTTTTTGAAACAGGGTCTCACTGTGTTGCCTAGGCTGCAATGCAGTGGCACAATCATGGCTCACTGCAGCCTCAAACTCCTGGACTCAAGCAATCCTCCTACCTCGGACTCCCACAGTGCTGGGACTACAGGGATGAGCCACTGTGCCTGCCTTCCCTATGATTTTCTTAATAACATTTTCTTTTAAGAGTACAGTATAGGCCAGGTGCGGTGGCTCATGCCTGTAATCCCTGTACTTTGGGAGGCTGAGGCGGGTGGATCACCTCAGGTCAGGAGTTCAAGACCAGCCTGGCCAACATGATGAAACCCCGTCTCTAGTAAAACT
Source organism: Homo sapiens (assembly GCF_000001405.40). Classification (NCBI taxonomy): domain Eukaryota; kingdom Metazoa; phylum Chordata; class Mammalia; order Primates; family Hominidae; genus Homo; species Homo sapiens. The sequence goes on along the minus strand of NW_019805496.1, from coordinate 222,801 downwards.
ACAAAAAATCAGCTGGGTGTGGTGGCGGGTGGCTGTAATCCCAGCTACTCAGGTGGCTGAGGCAGGAGAATTGCTTGAACTCGGGAGGCTGAGGTTGCAGTGGGCTGAGATCGCGCCACTGCACTCCAGCCTGGGCAACAAGAGCAAGACTCCGTCTCAAAACAACCACAACCAAGAGTACAGTATATAGGCCAGGCACAGTGACTCACGCCTGTAATCCCAGCACATTGGGAGGCCAAGGCAGACAGATCACCTGAGGTTGGGAGTTTTGAGACCAGCCTGACCAACATGGAGAAACCCTGTCTCTACTAAAAATAAAAAATTAGCTGGGCGTGGTGGCGCATTCCTGTAATCCTAGCTACTTGGGAGGCTGAGGCAGAAACATCACTTGTACCCAGGAGGGAGAGGTTGCAGTGAGCCGAGATCGCGCCATTGCACTCCAGTCTGGGCAATAAGGGCGAAACTCTGTCTCAAAAAAAAAAAAAAAAAAGTACAGTATATAAAATACAAAATATGTGTGAATTGACTGTTTAGGTTGTCAGTAAGGCTTCTGGTCAGTAGTAGGCTATTAGTAGCTAAGTTTTTGGGTAATGAAATGTTATATGCAGAGTTTCAACTGCTCAGGAGCCAGCATCCCTAAACCCTGCATTGTTCAAGGGTCAACTATACATGCAATTTAGACAGTAGTTATATTGTAACATATACAGTTACATTGTTATATACTATACATAGTAGTAACGTTATATACTATATATTATATATAATAATTACATTGCTGTAAAAATATTGTAAAGTTCCTTCTTTTTAGTTTATTTTCAGCATTCTAATCTGCTAAAGGTTGTCTGGTAGCACTTCGAAAATGTTGTACAACAGTAAGAGAAATGAAAATGCTTAAATAAGAATGTGGTTTTTTTCTTGAATGTTGTATTTAAATCAGCTTAGTTCCAAGCTTTTTTTTTATCAAGTTCTTTTGCTATTTCCACAGAGGCATGATATCCTTCCATAAAGAGCCGAGGCTCTAGATTTGGACACACCTGGTTTTATTTCTGCCTCTCACAGTTTGGTCATATTTCTTTCTTATTGATAGAGATGACAGACAGTATTTCACAATTATAATAGTTAAATGAGGCCAGGTGCAGTGGCTCATGCCTTGTAATCCCAGCATTTTGGGAGGCCAAGGCAGGAGGGTCATTTGAGCTCAGGAGTTCAAGACCAGCCTGGGCAACATAGCAAGACCCTGTAGAAAAAAAATTTTTTAGGCTGGGCACAGTGGCTGATGCCTGTAATCCCAGCACGTTGGGAGGCTGAGGTGGCTGGATCACCTGAGGTCAGGAGTTTAAGAACAGCCTGGCCAACATGGTAAAACCCCGTGTCTACTAAAAATACAAAAATTAGCTGGGCATGGTGGTGCACGCCTGTAATCCCAGCTACTCGGAAGGCTGAGGCAGGAGAATCACATGAACCCAAGAGGCGGAGGTTGCAGTGAGCCGAGATCATGCCACTGCACTCCAGCCTGGGTGACAGATTGAGATTTGTTTCCTTAAAAAAAAAAAAAAAAGTTTAAAGAGTTAAATGAAATTACATGTAGTACCTTGTAAGCACCTCCTCAACTGCAGTCGGTTAAAATACTTTGATTTGACATGGGATATTGCATAATTTGTTTAAGTTAGCATTTATTTAGTGCCCTATTTTCTCCTTCCTTCATGCATTTGGAAATTAGATTGAATGTTACTTAATGTTCAGTGGAAATTGACAGGTTGCGTTAATCTGATGGATACTTCTTTGTATTTTGGGAGTTCAAAATATTTTTCTTTGATGTATAGCAAATCGACAAATTGAAATCCTGGAACTGGAAGATCTGGAGAAAGAGTGTTCCTTGGCTCGCATCCGCCTCACTTTGGCTCAGCATGATCCATCAGCGGTTGCAGTTGCTGGTAGGAATTCAAGAGTTTAAAGCCTCTGACTTGTCAGCACCACGAGCACATTTTAGGTCCAGGCAGTGTATGTAGCATGGTAGATGGGTATAAAGCCTGGGTTATTACTCAGAGATACTCATCAACAAAACAAAATCTTTGGTTTCATTTGTGTATACCTTGGCTACACGAAATAATCTTTTTCCATTTTCACAGGAAGTTCATCAGCAGAGGAAATGGTCACTCTCTTGGTTCAGGCGGGCCTCTTTGACACTGCCATATCACTCTGTCAGACTTTTAAGCTTCCCTTAACGCCAGTCTTTGAAGGGCTTGCCTTCAAGTATGTATAAAATTATTTTTTTATAGTCTTTTCTAATGCAAATATATTATCCTCTTGCTCAGTGTGAAACAGTCGTCATAAGCCAAGTAGCCCATATATCATTTATGATTTGAAGAAGTGTTTTGTTTAATCCATCCAAGCATTCTTAAAAAGAATTTCAGGCTGAGCGCAGTGGCTCACGCCTGTAATCCCAGCACTTTGGGAGGCCGAGGCGGGCGGATCACGAGGCCAGGAGATCAAGACCATCCTGGCTAACAAGGTGAAACCCCGTCTCTACTAAAAATAATACAAAAAAAATTAGTCGGGCGTGGTGGCGGGCGCCTGTAGTCCCAGCTACTCGGGAGGCTGAGGCAGGAGAATGGCGTGAACCTGGGAGGCAGAGCTTGCAATGAGCCGAGATCGCGCCACTGCACTCCAGCCTGGGCGACAGAGCGAGACTCTGTCTCAAAAAAAAGAAGAAGAATTTCTTGGCCAGGCACAGTGGCTCACATCTGTAATCCTACTAATACTTTGGGAGGCTGTGGCGGGTGGATCGCTTGGGACCAGCCTGGCCAACATGGTGAAACCCTGTCTCTACTAAAAATACAAAAATGAGGGTGTGGCACACAACAGTAATTTCAGCCTCTCAGGAGGCTTAGGCACAAGAATCTCTTGAACTTGGGAGGCAGAGGTTGCAGTGAGCTGAGATCGCGCCTCTGCACTCGAGCCTGGGCAACAAAGCAAGACTCTGTTTCAAAAAAAAAAAAAAAAAAAGTTTGTGAATTAGAAATAATTTTGAACTTTCAGAATTTTTCAGCCAGGTGCAGTGGCTTACGCCTGTAATGCCATCACGTTGGGAGGCCAAGGTGGGCAGATCACTTGAGGTCAGGAGTTCAAGACCTGCCCGGCCAACATGACGAAACCCCATCTCTACTAAAAATACAAAAGTTAGCCAGGAGAGGTGGCGTGTGCCTGTAATCCCAGCTACTTGGGTGGCTAAGGCAGGAGAATCGCTTGAGCCTGGGAGACGGAGGTTACAATGAGTTGAGATTGCGCCACTGCACTCCAGCCTGGGCAACAGAGCGAGACTCCATCTTAATTTAAAAAAAAAAAGAGGCCAGGTGCGGTGGCTCATACCTGTTATCCCAGGACTTTGGGAGACCTAGGCGGGCGGATCATGAGGTCAGGAGATCAAGACCATCCTGGCTAACACAGTGAAACCCCGTCTCTACTAAATATACAAAAAATTAGCCAGGCATGGTGGCATGGGCCTGTAGTCCCAGCTACTCAGGAGGCTGAGACAGGAGAATCACTTGAACCTGGGAGGCAGAGGTTGCAGTGAGCTGAGATTGCACCACTGCACTGCAGCCTGGGTGACAGAGCAAGACTCCATCTCAAAAAAAAAGAAAAGAAAAAAGAATTTTTCATCATTAATTTTATCTTGGAAGTAAATTGTCTCTTAATGCTTACTCATGTTCTTGTAGGTATCCAGTTGTGTAACTTGAGGAAGAGATGAGCCAATATTCCAGTAGTGAATTCAGCAAAAGACTAGAGATGAAGTTGTCATCTATCTCTCTAGTTTTAGTATCAAATTAAAGTGGTACGTTTCAGCGTTCAGTTTTCAAGTGTGGAACCATTTTCATTCCAGATGCATCAAATTGCAATTTGGAGGAGAGGCAGCACAAGCAGAAGCCTGGGCCTGGCTAGCAGCCAATCAGCTCTCATCTGTCATCACTACTAAGGAGTCTAGGTACAACCCTGGTGTTCAACCCTGGGTAGTTTTGCCTTTCTAAAAGCTGTAACTGTCTTTCTCTGACTAAATTGTCCTACATAGATCATTTCACTTTTTTCTTTCTTTTTGGCTAAGTTTTTATAGGGGCTGGAAAGTTTATAATTAAGGTGACATCATGTCATTTATTGTCCAAACTAGGATGTCTTTGCCTATGAAATGTCTCCTTCTCCATATCCCCCTCCTCAAAGACTTACTGTTTCATATCAGGAAAGGGTACTCTTACAGGCAAAAATCTGTATTTACTTGTTTCGGAGTGTTATCCTCCTTTTTTCCCCCATTTCTTCCACTGAGCAGTCACTGCATGGTTTCATCACAGTGTCCTCTTATATCTTGTCTCCAGCTGCTGTTCAGCAGTCTGTCACCCATCAGCCCCCATCATCCACTATACCTTCTTCAGATCTCCTCTGGTTCGTATACTTCCCCAGTGCACCCACTTTGTGTCCACGTAAATATACTTCAGCTTCTTCAGAAACCTTCTCTAACATTCCTAACCCTCAGTAAACTTCCCTTTCTGAACTGCATTTGCACTTGGTATTATACAGCTTAGCACTTTAGAGTGATAGCACTTTAGAATTTGGAAGTTCTCTGACATTAGTTTTCAACCCCTAAATTAGCACATCAGAATAACTTATTAAAATACAGATTATGAGAAATCACCCTAGTCTTCTAAGTTAGAACTTCTGCATGATTCTAATGCTTGATCAGGTTTGAGAACCAGTGTTCTGAACCAGTTTCTTGTTTTAGAAATGCAGAAACAAAGGAGTTAAATGAATTATGCATTAATAGCCAAACAAATAACGTTCATTTACTAAATATGTTTGTTTACTAAATACTAAATACGTTAGTGGGAGAGGAATATACGAACCCAAGACATCTAGTTTCTAGTGCTATCCCCATAAGTCACATTAGCCCAAATAATATTTGTTCCCATTTAGCTATATTATTGATTCAGTTGTTAATTTCTAAAGTTTTCCTTGTAAGGCTGGGCATGGTGACTCCTGCCTGTAATCCCAACACTTAGGGAGGACAAGGTCAGAGGATCACTTTAGCTCTGGAGTTTAATACCAGCGTGGACAACATAGCAAGTCCTTGTCTCTACAAAACATAAACAAAATTAGCTGGGCATAGTGGTGCATGCCTGTATTCCCAGCTATTTAGGAAGCTGAAATGGGAGAATCTGGGGCTGAGGCTGCAGTGAGCTGAGATCACACCACTCCACTCTAGCCTGGGTGACAGAGCAAGACCCTGTCTGAAAAAAAAGTTTTCCTTGTAAATACATGCTTTGAATGGTACTCTAAATAGCTATTAAGAATCTGAAACTCATTAGTCATTTTTGTTTTTTTCAAGTGCTACAGATGAAGCATGGCGACTATTATCCACTTACCTGGAGAGGTACAAAGTCCAGAATAACTTGTATCACCACTGTGTAATCAACAAGCTCTTGTCTCATGGAGTGCCTCTGCCTAATTGGCTTATAAACAGTTACAAGGTAAACGGATTATAACTTGTACAGAGTAAGAACCCACTCTTTATCATTCTGGATAACTTCATGAGATGATTAAAAATATGGACTGATTGCAGTGGCTCATACCTGTCATGCCCGCACATTGGTAGGCCAACAGGGGAGGATGGCTTGAGCCCAGGAGTTTGAGACCAGCTTGGGCAACACAGGGAGACCCCATCTCTATTTAAATTTAAAAATATATAAAGAAAAAGAAAAAGATGGGGTGATAACTTATGGGAACATATTGACTTACGTACTTTGGGAAGCTTTTCATCATAGCTAAAACCATAAGAACAATTCAAATTCATTTCCACAGTACTACTGTGTATTTAGATTTGAAGTTTCATAGGTTAGTAATTAGGTTAATGACTCCTATTATATTCACTGAACAATGAGTTTATATTTAGAACAATGAGCATATGCATGACACAGGATTTACTCTTCATACCTCAAAAAAGTCACAGGAGTCGGTGGAGTACTTTTCAAATAATATAACACTATGGCTGGTCTGAGTGCCGTGTTGTTTACAACTAATTGAGCACAACCAGTTTCCGATTGGTTCCTTCTCCACTCCCACTGTTTCACCTATTAAAAATCAAAAACGGGTTCTTAGACTGTCTGCATCAGAATTATTCAGATGGCAGTCTTCTTCAAAATACAGATTCCTCATCCTAGACTTACAGAATCAGATTATCTCAGGCTAGGAGCCAGAAATCTACATTTTAAGAAGCTCCTAATTTGATTTTGATGCATGCTAAAGTTTGAGAACTTCTGCATCTGAACCACCGTTAGTAGGATAAGGAAAGAGAAAATCTAAAGCTTAAAATCAGGAAAGTTTTTTTTGGTTTTTTTTGTTTTGTTTTGTTTTGTTTTTTTTGTTTTTGTTTTTGTTTTTTTTTTAAGGTAGAAAGGAGGCCGGGCACGGTGACTCACGCCTGTAAACCCAGCGCTTTGGGAGGCCAAGGCAGGCAGATCACCTGAGGTCAGGAATTCGAGACCAGCCTGGCCAACATGGTGAAACCCCATCTCCACTAAAAATACAAAAATTATCTGGATGTGATGGTGCGTGCCTGTAATCTCAGCTACTCTGGAGGCAGAGGTTACAGTGATCTGAGGTTGCACCACTGCCCCCAAGCCTGGGCGACAGAGCAAGACTCTGTCTCAAAAAAAATAAATAAATAGGAAAGTAGGGAAGCCAGCTAAGATGGTAAAGGTAAGATTGTGATCAAATGGGAATATAGAAAGCATGCTTAATTAATAGAGCTCTTCCAAATAGAGACTTCAGATTTAAAGCTGGTGATTCTTTGAACTTCTTTTGCATTTGTCATTCATATATTTCTTATTATGTGAATATATTGTCACTTTAGTGTTCAGGAAAAGTTTGTTGACTTTACAACTGTGGAAACTGAAGTGGAGAGAAGTTAAAATATGTCTTAGGTCATAAAACAGGGGAAGAAGGCTATTTAACAGATAAGGGCCTCCCAAACTGCCTAGAGGTAACGGCTCTTAGGGATTTAACTTTTTTTTTTTCCTAACTCCCCAGATTTGTTATCAGCTCTTATCCTAAGATACAGATGAGTAAACCAAGCCACTGGTTTAATTATATTGAGAAATACAAATGTTAGGGAATCAGCCACTCAACATTCTTTGGTCAGTACTCAAGTAGGAGGGAAATAGGTACATATTCTTAATCACTGACTTTTCACAGAAGGTTGATGCTGCTGAATTGCTTCGTTTATACTTAAACTATGACCTTTTAGAAGAAGCTGTGGATTTGGTGTCAGAATATGTGGATGCTGTATTGGGAAAAGGACATCAATACTTCGGAATTGAGGTAGGCATATACAAATGGTCCCCAATTTACAATGGTTTGACTTACGATTTTTCAACTTTACAGTGGTTTGAAAGTGATGAACATTTATGAGAAACCATACTTTAAAATACTGATGGCCGGGCACAGTGACTCATGCCTATAATCCCAGCACTTTGGGAGGCCGAGGCAGACAGATCACCTGAGGTCAGGAGTTCGAAACCAGTTTGGCCAACATGGCAAAGCCCCGTCTCTACTAAAAATACAGAAATTAGCCAGATGCAGTGGCACGTACCTGTAATCCCAGCTACTCAGGAGGCTGAGGCAGGAGAATCGCTTGAACCTGGGAGGCAGAGGTTGCAGTGAGCCGAGATCATGCCACTGCACTCCAGCCTGGGCAACAGAGCGAGACTCCATCTCAAAAATAAATAAATAAATAAATAATAAATAAATAAAATACTCATACAACCGTTCAGTTTTTCAGTTGCAGTACAGTATTCAATAAATTACACAAGATATTCAACAGTGTATTATAAAGTAGGCTTTCTGTTAGATGATTTTGCCCAACTTTATAGGTTAACGTTAAGTGTCCTGAGCATGGTTAAGTAGGCTAGGCTAAGCCGTGATGTTCATTAGGTTAGATGTATTATATGTATTTTCAACCTATGATATTTTCAACTGATAGTGGGTTTATTGGAAAACAAACCCACCATAAGTTGAGGAACATCGGTATAGGCGCATATATATATATATATATATATATATATATATATATATATATATATATATATATTTTTTTTTTTTTTTAACTGAGTTTTGCTCTGTTGCCCAAGCTGGAGTGCAGTGATGCAGCCTCCACTTACTCCCTCACTGCAGCCTCCGCCTCCCGGGTTCAAGTGATTCTCCTGCCTCAGCCTCCTGAGTAGCTGGGATTACAGGCACCTGCCACCACATCCAGCTAATTTTTTAATATTTTTGGTAGAGATGGGGCTTCACCATGTTGGCCAGGCTGGTCTCGGAACTCCTAACCTCAAGTGATCCACCCACCTCGGCCTCCCAAAGTGCTGGGATTACCCATGTGAGCCACCATGCCCGGCCTAGGCATTTCTTTTTATTATCATGCTATGTAAGGTGAGAATCTGAGAGTAAATTGAACTATATGTTAGTGTATTTAACCTTTACTATCTGTAGTTATACAACTAAATATTGACACTCTAGGAATCTCTAGTCTCCTGTTTATAAAATAGGAATTTCATCTTTCTCTATCAAAATAATATGGCATTAGTTAGGATTCAGTGGAGAGAGATAAACAAAATGGTATTGTGTGTGTGCCGGGACTGTGTTAAGTCTCTACAAGCATTTTTTTATTTAATCCTTATAGCAGCCTTATGAAGGAATGTTTTAATTTTCTATTTTTTAACCCATGAGGGAACAGGCTCAGAGGTTATCACAGGCTCATACAGATGGCAAATATAATAGAAGAGCCAGGTCTAAATAGGTGTAGTTAACTACAGCTTCAACCCTCATGAAATCAGCCAGGTGCAATAGCTCACACCTGTAATCCTAGCACTTTCGGAGGTCAAGGTGTGAGGATCGTTTAAACCCAGAGGTTAAGACCAGCCTTGGCAACATAGTGAGAACCTTTATCTACAAAAAATAGAAAAAAATTAGCTGGTCATGGTGGTGCGTGCCTATAGTCCCAGCTATGTGGGAAGCTGAGGTGGGAGGATCACATGAGCCCTGGAGGTTGAGGGTACAGTGAGCTATGATCATGCCACTACACTCCAGCCTGAGTGACAGAGTGAGACCCTGTCTGAAAAAAAAAAGAAAGTTGACATGAAATTATTTTTTATTTTTATTTTTTTATTTTTTCCAAGACGGAGTCTCGCTCTGTCGCCCAGGCTTGAGTGCAGTGGCATGATCTCGGCTCACTGTAACCTCCGCCTCCCGGGTTCAAGCAATTCTTCAGCCTCAGCCTCCCGAGCAGCTGGGACTACATCTGTGCCACCACACCTGGCTAATTTTTGTATTTTTAGTAGAGACGGGGTTTCACCATATTGGCCAGGCTGGTCTCGAACTCCTGACCTTGTGATCCGCCCACCTCGGCCTCCCAAAACGTTGGAATTACAGGCCCAGCCGACATGAATTTTTAAATATATTTAACCGAAAAAAATGACAAGTTTCCCAGTTGGAGAAAAGAGGGTTCCCATTGTGTGCATGCACATGTATACACACAGTTTCTTGTGGTTGGGGGAAAAAATGCATTTTATTTTGCCGGGCACAGTGGCTCACTTTCGGAGGCCAAGGCAGGTGGATCACTTGAGGCCAGGAGTTTGAGACCAGCCTGTCCAACATGGTGAAACCCCATCTCTACTAAAAATAAACATAAAAAAATTAGCTAGGCATGGTGGTGCACATCTGTAGTCCAGCTACTCAAGAGGCTGAGGCACAAGAATTGCTTGAGCCCAGGAGGCGGAGGTTGCAGTGAGCTGAGATTGTGCCACTGCACTCAGCCTGGGCGACAGAACAAGACCATCTCAAAAAAAAAAAAAAAAAGGGTATTTTATTCTACAGAGTCCTATGAAAGCAACTACCCAGAAGAAATGGTACACTTTGCAGACTGTTTTCAAATAAACATTTTCCTTTTAGTTTCCACTGTCCGCAACAGCCCCAATGGTGTGGCTTCCATACTCCTCTATTGATCAGCTTCTCCAAGCTCTGGGAGAGAACAGTGCCAACAGTCACAACATCGCAGTAAGTCAGCCCTTTCATGAGACGTCTTGTGTAAGCCCCTGCACTAGCAGTTACACCTTACAGCTTGATCTTCAGTTCTCCGGGATTAGAAAGGGAAGACAAAAGCCTATTTTTGGCCCTTAACAAACTGCCCAGTCCCTTTATAGATAAGGCAGAGGATCTAAGTAACAGGATCAAGAAAACATAATGAGGAACTGTGTAAGTGTTAATTATACAGAGACAAATGGCAAGCAGTCGGTCCATCCTTTAAAGCTTTTAATTTGGTAGGGCAGACCCTACAAGGTAAACAGGTACTTGAAATACAGCAATGATAGGCCGGGCGCAGTGGCTCACGCCTATAATCCCAGCACTTTGGAAGGCTGAGACGGGCAGATTACCTGAGAGGTCAGGAGTTCGAGATCAGCTTTGCCAACATGGTGAAATTCCATCTCTACTAAATATACCAAAACTAGCCAGGCATGGTGGCGGGCACCTGTAATCCCAGCTACTCGGGAGGCTGAGGCAGGAGAATCGCTTGAACCCAGGAGGCGGAGGTTCCAGTGAGCCAAGATTGCACCACCGCACTCCATCCTAGACAGCAGAGTGAGACTCCATTCCCCCACCCTGAAAAAGAAAGAAATACAGTGTGATAAATTATCACTGTCCTGAGGGAAGTTGGCATATATAACAACATTTCTCAGGAGTCATATATTCACCCTGCTTGCCTTAACATAAAAAACAATAGTGTTTCCTTGAGTCATTATAGTGATGGCTTATTTTGTTTACCAGTGAGATAGAGTGCCTCCTGAGCCTATCTAAAATATTAGTTCTATATTTCACTTGGCAGCTAATAACTAGTTATATCAGATGCAGCATTTCTGGTTCTGAGAAAAGAGTTAGTGATCCTTTTATTAGAAATACTGGTACGATTTCCATACTTAGAAAATTCATTCAGAAAATGAGACTGAAATGTTGTATATAACAGAGAGGCCTAGTTTTATCAGTAGAGTCACAGAGGAGACTCCTATAACAAATGGTGATTTTATGAAGCAGAGTGGCTAACATCTTTATAAGGTGGAATCTACTTGGTGAAGTCAAAGTTATTAATAACTTCAATATTTTTCCATTGTTGAGCTGTTATGTAATGTTTTCCTTCTTTTCTCTTATAGCTGTCCCAGAAAATACTTGACAAATTGGAGGACTACCAGCAAAAAGTTGATAAGGCAACACGGGATTTATTATATCGTCGGACCTTGTGATTTGGATTGTCACCTAGCCTTTGTAACCGCTTGGTGCCTCTTAGGACTTAAGACTACCCTACAGGAACCCTGTACTCAAGGCCGATTTTTGTAACTGTAAATGATGTGTACAACATTCAAGTCTGCATTCTGCACAAGATAGGAGGGCGGAAGAGTCAGAGGACCCTGTGCTTGCTGGTGGTGCTAACACAATTTCTGGTGTTCAACCTTGGTCTCAAATAGCTGCTTTTGTATATGATTCACGAGCTTTTTTAGAGTTTATATTTTTTTAAACTACCGAAGACATTCATTATCTGCAAATTAAGACTCACCTTCACTTTCCAAAATAGCTGAGGGTTGTTGGCTTGTTGTAGCTGACCACCAAAAGCAGTCACTGCAAATCTTTTAATTCTTCCCTATCACCTTTTGTATTTTAATGCAATTATTTTGGTCCAGAACTGACCTGTATTTTCTGTATTGTACACAAAAGCTAATAATTTTGTGTACTTTTTATTTATTTTGGAGGTTTTATATGATCTTCAATTGAGTATTAAATAATTTGCCTAGATTAAGCCTAAAATGATGACCAGCTAATTAAAGAAGATATTTTGAATCTGGTTCTGAGCTAAAGTTGAGTAAATTCTTAGCTAAGAAAAAATTGGAAATCCATCATCTATATTAGCAACAGATTCTCAGAGTAAATTGTTAACTTCTATGATTTATGATAATCAAGCTGGACTTGATCATACAAGTTAGTCTCATAATGTATTGGACCAAAATGTAAACTTCATTGGTCAGATTTAGAAGCATTCATGCTCACAAGTTTTGGGAAAGTGAAAAATAATAAAATCATCTTGGATTTTATTCTGTATATTAAAATTTATCTTTTAAGGAAACAATCTGTATACTACTTGCTTGTATAGCCTTTTGACCCTTCTTGAGTTTTTCAGAAGCCTTTAATTTTTATACTTTCAATACCATATTTACATTATATACTTTAATTAACAATGTGAGTTTCTCTGTGGTACTGTTGTTGATAGATACTGAGGTGTGTGTTTCTTTTTTTTTTTTTTTTTTTTTTTTCATTTTAGCTCTACTATGATTAATACGAGGCATTTGGTGCAATTAGGGACTGGGAGAGCCCCTGTCCTCCCAGCTCTCTAAACCTGTGGCTTTCAACGACAGTAAGAAAGACATTTTGACCTACATACACATATATAACCAAAAGAAAAGTTTCACAAAATTTGTATCCTCACCTACAGTGTATCCTGATGTTTTCATGAGTGACTAATGGATCATAACCCATAGTATGAAAACATCAAGGGCCAGGCGTGGTGGCTAACTCCTATAATCTCAGCACTTTGGGAAGCTGAGGCAGGCGGATCACTTGAGATCAGGAGTTCAAGACCAACGTGGCAAAACCACATCTTTCAAAAAAAAAAAAAAATTAGCTGGTCGCAGTGGTGCGTACCTGTAGTCCCAGCTACTAGAGGGGCTGAGGCGGAAAGATGGCTTGAATCTGGGAGGTAGAGGTTGCAGTGAGCCTTGAGCATGCCACTGCACTCCAGCCTGGGCGACAATGAGACCAAACCCTATTGTAGCCATCTCTGGAGGGCAAGAAGTAGTGAGAGACTAGCCCTATTCCAGAAACCCCCACTCCCCCCATTTGTGTTGCTGATCAATGCAGTGGTTTCCATGGTGGCAGTTCACAAGATGCTGACCAACTTTTCCTGTGCTTGTTTAGGTTCAAGGCCTAGAACCCATGCTCAACCCAGCCCAGCTCTTCTGTCCATTGTATTCTACGCTCCTCATTTTGAGTCCCGACCAGAACAGAGCATGCCCCCATACTTCCACGTCACTTTTCTCACAGCTTTGAGTCTGCTTTTTTTTTTTTTTCAGACGGAGTTTCACTCTTGTTACCCATTCTGGAGTGCAGTGGCGTGATCTCCACTCACTGCACCTTCCGCCTCCCGGGTTCAAGTGATTCTCTGCCTCAGCCTCCCGAGGAGCTGGGATTACAAGCATGCGCCACCACGCCCGGCTAATTTTGTATTTTTAGTAGAGACAAGGTTTTTCCATGTTGGGCAGACTGGTCTTGAACTCCCAACCTCACGTGATCTGCCCACCTCAGTCTCCCAAAGTGCTGGGATTATAGGGGAATTGCAACAGAGAAAGTAATTCATGGCCGGGCGCAGTGGCTCACGCCTGTAATCCCAGCACTTTGGGAGGCCGAGGCGGGCAGATCACGAGGTCAGGAGTTTGAGACTAGCTTGACCAACATGGTGAAATCCCATCTTTACTAAAAAAAAAAAAAATGCAAAAATTAGCCAGGTGTGATGGCGTGCACCTGTAATCCCAGCTACTCAGGAGGCTGAGGCAGAAGAATCGCTTGAACATGGGAGGCAGAGGTTGCAGTGAGCCGAGATCGCACCATTGCACTCCAGCATGGAACAACAGTGAAATTCTGTCTCAAAAAAAAAAAAGAGAAAGTAATTCACGCAGAGCCAGCTGTGCGGGAGACTGGAGTTTTATTATTACTCAAATCAGTTTCCCTGAAAACTCAGGGATCAGAGTTTTTAAGGATAATTTGGTGGGTAGGGGGCCAGTGAATCAGGAGTGCTGATTGGTTGGCTTGGGGATGAACTCATAGGGAGTCGAAGCTGTTGTCTAATGCTGAGTCAATTCCTGGGTGGGGGCACAGAACTGGTTGGCAGGTCCAGGTGGCGCCGTCTGGTTGTGAGAAATGAAAAACCTGAAAAGTCATCTCAAAAGGCCCATCTTAGGTTGACAATAGTGATGTTACCTTCAAGAATAATTAGGAAAGTTGCAAATCTTATGACCTCCAGAATAATGGCTGGTAATATTTAGAAATCTAGCCCCTCTCATCTTGACTTCATGGCTGGTGGCCTTTCATTTGTTTTACAAGAACAGTTTAGCTTTTTGGGAAGGACTGTTACATAAACTATACACTAAATTCCTTCCCAAAGGTAGTTTGGCCTATGCCTAGGAATGAACAAGGACAGTTTAGAGGTTAGAAGCACGATAGGGTCAGTTAGTTCTGACACCTTTCACTGTCATAATTTTCTGAGTTAATGATTTTTACAAAGACAGTTTCATAACCAGTCTAGCCTGAAAATGCATTTTATTTCATTTTTTCTCTTTTTTCCCTAGTTTCAATATGTAACCTTGAAGCTTACTGCAGAAATCTTTTTTTCTTCTCCTTAGTCTTAAAATATTAGCCTTGAAATGTACTTTCTTTGAAATATCATGTTCCTCCCTTTCTCACCATACACTCCATTATACCATGCACATTTATCTAACTTTGCATGCTTGTATCTAATTATGTGCTTACCCAGGGGCTAATCTCGAGACAGACGGAGTATGGAGACCCAGCTGCAAAACTCCAGAGATTACCTCGAGGTAGTTAGTCCACAATACCACCCGGCCATTGTTGAGATGACACCAGTGCCTGCACTCCAGGTGACAGACCCAAGATAGCCACCAAAACGAGACACATGGACCTTGTACTCAGCACAGCTCCTGCATGCCACCAATATCGTTTCCCTTTTTAAACCCTTGCCTTCTCCCCAGAAATTTGAAGTGGTTGCTTTGGATGTGAATCTAGCCACTTCCCCATTGCTAGTTTTGGTAAATTTCTTTCCACCATACCTTGCTCTTGTTTCGGGGCTCTCCAAGTGGCGAGCCACCAGACCTGCACTCACTTACATAAGTATGGTTACTACAGTTAATCATACTGTATTGTACACTTGAAATTTGCTAAGATAATATATTTTAAGGCTCCTCACCATACACAAACAAAAAGGTAACATATGAGGTGCTGGATATGTTAATTGACTTTGTCAAAAGACAAATTGCAACAAATTTAGTTTAAAGATTTTTTTTTTCTTTTTTTCTACATGGAGTCTTGCTTTGTCACCCAGGCTGGATGGGAGTGGCGTGACCTTGGCTCACTGCAACCTCCGCCTCCTGGGTTTAAGCAATTCTCCTGCCTCAGCCTCCCAGGTAGCTGGGACTACAGGTGCGTACCACCATGCTCGGCTAATTTCTGTATTCTTAGTAGAGACGGGGTTTCATCATGTTGGCCAAGCTGGTCTTGAACTCTTGACCTCATGATCCGCCCACCTCAGCCTCCCGAAGCGCTGGGACTACAGGCATGAGCCACTGTGCCCAGCCTAAAGATCTTAATTAGCTTTTATTTATCACTTGTGTGAATTGGGCAACACTTCCTTCCATAAAATAGAATGAGTGTTCCAACAAGCTAAACAGAGGACAGAGACAGGCTAAGGAAAGCAGAAAACAACAAAACACAGCTTGGTGGCTTCCTTTTTTTATTTAGACAGGGTCTTGTTCTCACACCCCAGGTGGACTGCAGTGGCACAATCATGGCTCACTACAGGCTGGACCTCCAGGGCTTAGTTGATTCTCCTGCCTCAGCCTTCAGAGTAGCTGGGACTACAGGCAAATTTTTATTATTTTGGCTGGGCGCAGTGGCTCACGCCTGTAATCCCAGCACTTTGGGAGGCCGAGGCGGGTGGATCACAAGGTCAGGAGATGGAGACCTTCCTGGCTAACACAGTGAAACCCCGTCTCTACTAAAAATACAAAAATTAGCCAGGTGCGGTGGCGGGCACCTGTAGTCCCAGCTACTCGGGAGGCTGAGGCAGGAGAATGGCGTGAACCCGGGAGGTGGAGCTTGCAGTGAGCCAAGATTGCGCCACTGCACCCCAGTCTGGGAGACAAAGCAAGACTCCATCTCAAAAAAAAAAAAAATTATTTTTTGTAGAGATGGAGTTTTGCAATGTTGCCCAGGCTGGAGATGGTTTCAAAGTTACTTTCCTTGTAAAGGTTAAAACAGAGGGGATTTCCTTATCATGCTGACTAAAGCTGGCCTGTTTGGGGACTTGGCTATTATCTCTGTCTCCTGATTTCCCAGATGGTGACATAAACAACTTCATTTCTTTTTTTTAATAGAGATGGGGTCTTGCTATGTTGCCCAGGCTGGTCTTGAAATCCTGGACTCAAGTGATCCTCCAACCTCAGCCTCCCAAAGTTCTGGGATTACAGGCATGAGCCATCGTGTCGTGTCCAGCCAAACAACTTCTTTAATGATATGGAACTCTAGCATGAGTAACTCCATTTGGGTATGGCCTGTTGAGGCCTGGTACAGGAACTCAGTCCAAAATAATGGTCTCCTATACTTTTTTTTTTTTTTTTGAGACGGAGTTTTGCTCTTGTCACCCAGGCTGGAGTGCAATGACACGATCTGAGTTCACTGTGATCTCCACCCGCCAGGTTCAAGCGAGTCTCCTGCCTCAACTTCCTGAGTACCTGAGATTACAGCCACATGCCAACACACCCGGCTACTTTTTGTATTTTTAGTAGAGATGGGGTTTCACCATGTTGGTCAGGCTGGTCTTGAACTCTGGACCTCAGGTGATCCACCTGCCTCAGCCTCCCGAAGTGCTGGGATTACAGGCATGAGCCACCGTGCCCAGCCTTGCCTCCTATAAATTTCTTTCTTTCTTTTTTTTTTTTTTTTTAAGACAGAGTCTCGCTCTGTTACCAGGCTGGAGTGCAATGGTGCCATCTCGGCTCACTGCAACCTCCGCCTCCTGGGTTCAAGTGATTCTCCTGCCTCAGCCTCCGGAGAGTAGCTGGGACTACAGGCACATGCCACCACGCCCAACTAATTTTTGTATTTTTAGTAGAGACGAGGGTTTCACCACGTTGGCCAGGATGGTCTCGATCTCTTGACCTTGTGATCTGCCCGCCTCGGCGTCCCAAAGTGCTGGAATTACAGGCATGAGCCACCGCGCCCATCCAACCTCCTATAAATTTCATTGAACGACTGATGGTGGTAATCATTTCATTATGTATATGTACATCAGATCATCACATTATATACCTTAAATATATACAATTTTTATCAATTATGCCTCAATAAAGCTAGGGAAAAAAGCCAATGGTTATCAACTCTGGCTAAGCATTAGAATAAGTAGCTTTTTAAAAAAGCAAGCTGGTTGCAGTTCATCACAACTATAATCCCAGCACTTTGGTAGGCTAAGGTGGACGGCTTGAGGCCAAGAGTTTGAGTCTATCCTGGGAAACAAAACAAGACCCTATCTTTACTTAAAAATAAACTGGCAGCCGGGCACGGTAGCTCGCAGCTGTAATCCCAGCACTTTGGGGAGGCCGAGGCAGGTGGATCACCTGAGGTTCAGGAGTTTGAGACCAGCCATGGCCAACATGGTGAAACCCCATCTCTACTAAAAATACAAAAATTAGCCAGGCGTTATGGCACACACCTGTAATCCCAGCTACTTGGGAGGCTGAGGCAGGAGAATCACTTGAGCCCAGGAGGGAGGCAGAGGTTGCAGTGAGCTGAGATGGCATCATTGCACTCCAGCCTGGGCGACAAGAACAAAACTCCATCTCAAAATAAATAAATACATAAACTGGCAAAGTGCAATGGCTCATGCTTGTGATCCCAATGCTTTGGGAGACTGAGATGGGCAGACAGCTTGAACCCAGGAGTTCCAGACCAGCACAGACAACATGGCAAAACCCTATCTCTACCAAAAATTTAAAAACTAGCTGGGATTGGTGGCATGCACCTGTAGTCTCAGCTACTTGGGAGGCTGAGGTGGGATGATCCCTTAAGCCTCAAGAGGAAAAGGCTGCAGTGAGCCATGATCATGCCATTGTACTCCAGCCTGGGCAACAGAGCAAGACCCTGTTTCAAAAATAAATAGTTACATTAAAATAAAGCACATTGAAATAGGTCCTGCACTCCCACCCCACTCCAACTGATTCAGATTTTTATATCGCTTTAATGCCCTCCAGATGGTTGAGAACTCTTGGTATAAGCATAAACAACCATCACCTCCAGAAATGTATGTTTCCCCCAAGGAAAACAGCCTTTCACATTTCTATACACTTTTGGTTTAGCTCATAATCTCAACTTAGTTCCAGCCAGTTTTATAATATTACCTGTACTTTTGTATAGACAAAAGGATCATTAATAGTAATAATAGCTGCTCTCAGGTAACAACTAATTGGGGCCAGTGTTGCAGGCAGTAAAGGAACTTACCAAGACAGTCATAGGTAAACAAAGGCAGGTAGTATAAACATACATTGCAAGGATGCAACAGGCAGGCACTAAGAGAGGAGCTGACTACAAGGAGACAAATGCTTGCTGGGGATTTTACAGAATGGTGCTTATGCTGGAGAGGGCTACACGCAGTATTGATAATGCCAAGGTTGCTGTGAGCTAACTTGCATTGTTCTATCAGCCAAGGTTCTGGTGATAAGTTGAGCATAGGAAGATTGTGAGTTACTTACACAGAAGGACTGTATGTCCTGGATCATGAAGAAAGGCAGACTTAGAGCTTATCTACTTTTTCTTTTTGTTCTCCCCTACTCCTGCCAGCCTGACTCCTTTTCCCTTATTAGGACTCCACAGGTACCAGCGTTTATTTTTTTCCAGGTGCAATGCAAAGGTCTTAAAACTATGATACAGGCTGGGCATGATGGCTTACGCCTGTAATCCCAGCACTTTGGGAGGCCAAGGCGGGTGGATCACCTGAGGTCAGGAGTTTGAGACCAACCTGGCCAACATGGTGAAACCCCATCTCTACTAAACATACAAAAATTAGCCGGACGTGGTGGCACGCACCTGTAGTCCCAGCTACTCAGGAGGCTAAGGCAGGAGAATCACTTGAACCTGGGAGGTGGAGGTTGCAGTGGGTGGAGATCACGCCACTGCACTCCAGCCTGGCAACAGAGCAAGACTCAAAAAAACTATGATACAATTTAAATTTCACAACAACCCTATGGGTCTATGGATACCGGTACTAATGTATTTTGTGGTTGCAAAAACAAGTTTAGGGATGTTAAGAAACTTGTCTAAGCCTTCATATCTGGAAGGTACTGAAGAAAAGTTTTCAATCCAGATGTTGGCCTCAAAGTTCCTATACAAAACTCCTTATTTTACTGTCTTTCCTCATTAAATAAATTAGAAAATTGCTAACAGCTTTTTTTTTTTTGAGACGGAGTCTCGCTCTACTGCCCAGGCTGGAGTGCAGTGGTGCGATCTTGGTTCACTGCAAACTCTGCCTCCCGGGTTCACGCCATTCTCCTGCCTCAGCCTCCCCAGTAGCTGGGACTACAGGCGCCCGCCACCGTGCCCGGCTAATTTTTTGTATTTTTTTTAGTAGAGACGGGGTTTCACCGTGTTGGCCAGGATGATCTCGATCTCCTGACCTTGTGATCCGCCCACGTCGGCCTCCCAAAGTGCTGGCATTACAGGCATGAGCCACTGCGCCCAGCCTGCTAACAGCTTTAAAACAGCAAATTCTTGGCCTGGCGCAGTGGCTCAGGCCTGTAATCGCAGCACTTTGGGAGACCAAGGCAGGTGGATCACGAGATCAGGAGATCGAGACCATCCTGGCCAACACGGTGAAACCCCGTCTCTACTAAAAATACAAAAAAATTAGCGGGGCGTGGTGGTTGGTGCCTGTAGTCCCAGCTACTGGGGAGGCTGAGGCAGGAGAATGGCGTGAACCCGGGAGGCAGAGCTTGCAGTGAGCCAAGATTGCACCACTGCACTCTAGCCTGGGTGACAGAGCGAGACTCCGTCTCAAAACATAATAACAAACAAACAAAAAAACCCAGCAAATTCTTCGGGCCAGGCACGGTGGCTCAGGCCTGTAATCCTAGCACTCTTGGAAGCCAAGGCGGGTGGATCACCTGAGGTCAGGAGTTTGAGACCAGCCTGGCCAACATGGCGAAACCCCGTCTACTAAAAATGCAAAAAATTAGTAGGGGGTGGTGGCGGGTGCCTGTAATTCCAGCTACTCGGGAGGCTGAGGGAGGAGAATCGCTTGAACCCAGGAGGCGGAAGTTGCAGTGAGCTGAGATCATGCCATTGCACTCCAGCCTGGGTGACAAGAGCAAAACTCCCTCTAAAAAAAAAAAAAAAATTAGGCCAGGCACCGTGGCTCACGTCTGTAATCCCTACACTTTGGGAGGCTAAGGCAGGCAGATCACTTGAGGTCAGGAGTTCAAGACCAGCCTGGCCAACATGGTGAAACGTCTCTACTAAAAATACAAAAATTAGTGGGGGTGATGGCATGCGCCTGTAGTCCCAGCTACTCCAGAGGCTGAGATGGGAGAATTGCTTGAACCCACGAGGTGGAGGTTGCAGTGAGCCTGTAGCAGGACGAGCCGCAGACAAAACTCCTCAGACACCGAGTTAAAGAAGGAAGGGGTTTATTCAGCCAGAGGCATCGGCAAGACTCCTGTCTCAAGAGCCGAGCTGCCCGAGTGAGCAATTCCTGTCCCTTTTAAGGGCTCACAGCTCTAAGGTGGTGCGCATGAGAGGGTTCGTGATCGACTGAGCAAGCAGGAGGTAAGTGACTGGGGGCTGCATGCACCGGTAATTAGATCGGAACAAAACAGGATAGGGATTTTCACAGTGCTTTTCTATACGATGTCTTTAATCTATAGATAACATAACCGATTAGGTCAGGGGTCAATCTTTAACTACCAGGCCCAGGGTGTGGTGCCGGGCTGTCTGCCTGTGGATTTCATTTCTGCCTTTTAGTTTTTACTTTTTCTTTCTTTGGAGGCAGAAACTGGGCATAAGACAATATGAGGGGTGGTCTCCTCCCTTAAGCCAAAATCGCACCACTGCCTTCCAACCTGGGCGACTCTGTATACAAAAAAAAATCTGTAATCTCAGCACTTTGGGAGGCCAAGGCAGACAGATCATGAGGTCAGGAGATCTAGACCAGCCTGGCCAATATGGTGAAACCACATCTCTACTAAGATACAAAAAATTAGACAGGCAAGGTGCTGCGCGCCTGTAGTACCAGCTACTCAGGAGGCTGAGGCAGGGGAATCGCTTGAACCTGGAAGGCAGAGATTGCAGTGAGCCAAGATCGTGCCACCGCACTCCAGCCTGGCGACAGAGAGAAGCTCTCTCAAAAATAAATTAATTAAAATTAAAATTAAAAAATTAGGCCAGGCACGCTGGCTCACACCTGTAATCCCAGCACTTTGGGAGGCCGAGGCGGGTGGATCACCTGAGGTCAGGAGTTCAAGACCAGCCTGACCAACATGGCAAAACCCTGTCTCAACTAAAAATACAAAAATTAGCCAGGCGTGGTGGTGGGCGCCTATTATCTCAGCTACTGGGGAGGCTGAGGCAGGAGAGTTGCTTGGACCCGGAGGGCAGAGGCTGCAGTGAGTCGAGATTGCGCCATTGCACTCCAGCCTGGGCAACAGAGCGAGACACCGTCTCAAAAAAAAAATGGCTTTAGCCCAGGAGTTTGAGGATGCAGTGGGCTATAATCATGCCACGTTACTCCAACCTGGATGACAGAGCAAGACACGTTTAAAAATAAAATTAGAAATAATCATTTTAAAAGATCAAATGCAATTCTACGTGTAAAGTGCTTGGTGACTGACACATAGAGCTCAGTAAGTATTAGATATTTTTAGTGGGAACTGAGCTGCTGCGGATATAAAAATAAATACCACTCGCATTCCTTAGTTTAGAGGGGAGACGGATGTCAACAGGATGTCAAGTGCCAGGGAGAGGCTGGGCAGGAGAGGTCACGCCTGCACTGCGTCTGCATTGCGCCCTGATGAAACAATAAAAGACTTTCATCATGTGATGCAGTAATTATTCCAGTCAGTGCAAAGGAAAAGTGAGGGAGGTGATGCTCCAAGTGGCGGGCTCCAGAGGCAGGAGACGGGAGAGGGGGCAGTGTTAAAGCAAGGGTAAATTAAAGCATGTTGACGATAGTAGTACAAAACTGGTAAGGTTCCTGTATGCCATCCCAACAATTTTAGGCTTTTTCCTTGTAGGTAGTGGAGTATCTCGTGATTTTTCCCAGCTAATAAGCGAGAAAATATGAGACATCTATTTGTGTGCTGCAGGAAATTACAAAAGCGTAAAAGACCCACTGTCCCATTTAATGTTCAATGCTATACCCAAAGTAAGCCACAATAATCCGGGCGAAACGTGGGGAAGGGCTCAGAAAACAGCACACCTTTCTTTTTTTTCTTGAGACAGTCTCACTCTGTCACCCAGGGTGGGGTGCAGTGGCGCGATCTCGGCTCACTGTAACCTTTGCCGCCGGGTTCATGCGATTCGCCTGCCTCAGTCTCCCGACTAGCTAGGATTACAGGCGCCTGCCACCGCGCCCGACTAAATCTTTTGTATTTTTAGTAGAGACGGGGTTTCACCATCTTGGACAAGCTGGTCTTGAACTCCTGACCTCGTGATCCACCCGCCTCGGCCTCCCAAAGTGTTGAGATTACAGGCGTGAGTGAGCTGGGCCCAGCAGCACACCTTTCTAGAAGACAGACAACATGAAACTCTAGGCCGAGAATAGCCACAAGATGGAGGACAAGTAGGCAAAGAAAAGGCTTGGGGAAAGCGCATGGGTGGAACCCGACGGAAGTGGGGAAGTCGTTCTAATTCAGGCCCTACCGCACTATTGGCTGGACTCTCACCCTTTTTCCTTTTCCATTGGCCACCGGTCCCTTCTCTGGGTCAAAACAGCCAATCGCCTAGCGCAGTTGGTAATCCCGCCCTTTCTCCTGGTGAGGAGGAGCCAGAAGAGCCGAAGGGTCCGAGGCGCTTGCGCAAGCGCGTGCTCCGCTGGTTGAAAGCGGATCCGGGCTGGAGGCGGTGTCACGGTGTATGAATATTGATTACGCGTCGCAGCGCCCAGGGCCCAGCGCCCAGCCTCCAGTGCCCGCCCCTCTCGGCCGCCCGACGCTCTCTGCTCGCGCTTGGGCTCGCGATGGGGAAGAAGTCCCGGGCGGTACCCGGCCGTAGGCCCATCCTGCAACTCTCTCCGCCGGGTCCTCGGGGCAGCACGCCGGGCCGGGACCCGGAGCCGGAACCCGACACTGAGCCGGACTCAACCGCGGCGGTCCCCAGCCAGCCCGCCCCGTCGGCGGCGACGACCACCACCACCGCGGTGACTGCCGCCGCGGCCTCGGACGACTCGCCTTCAGAAGGCAAGGGTGCGCGGGGGGACCTGAACTCGAGCTCAGGGCTTGCGGCCTAGGCTCCTCACGGCGCCTGGCCAGACCCGGCGAGGGAGGCGGGCGAGGTCGGCTTCCGAGGCCTGCCTGCTGCGGGCCTGCAGGCGGGGCGGCCCTGGGCTCCGGGCCGCAGAAGGGCCAGGCCGAGTTCTGCGCCCTCGGCCCGGGCCAAGCCCGAGGCGCCATCTGTGGTGCAGGGCTTGCCCCGGGAACGTTTGAAATATGACCGAAGTTCGGGCATCCTGAGTCTCCCAAACGCCCCGGGTCGGTTTTGGGTAACGCAGAGGGTGGATGTGAGGATGAGTTTCCGCGTGCGCGGCCTGTGACTGTGGGCCAGGCCTTTCCACACGTCATCTGCCTCCTTTCGGTTTTGTCGAAACGGGGATAGAGACGTTTAGAAAAAGCTCTTAATATTCCAGCTAGTAAGCATCCCCACACTAGCAGAACTGCTGGAGAAATGGAGCTGGTAGGTTCCTAAGTATTTGTGTGGTTCTCACTGGAGTGGTGCTTAGATTAAAAGTGACTCCAGGACTAGGCGCCGGAGAAGCCGCGACCGTTTCACATGTTCAGAGATCACGCTGGTTCGTTAATTGGAAAAAATCCGCAATAGCAGTGTTTGGTGTGTCTTGTAAAGGTCCTATCATAGCCTGGAGAATACTTACTGTTTTTGTATGTATTTGTAAGTATTGCAGATGTAACTTTTTAAGAGTTTTGTTTTGTTTTTTTCGAGACAATGTCTCAATCTGTCGCCCAGGCTGGAGTGCAGTGGCGCGATCTTGGGCTCACTGCAACCTCCACCTCCCGGGTTCAAGCGATCCTCCCGCCTTAGCCTCCTGGGTAGCTGGGACTACAGGACCCTGCCACCATGCCCGGCTAATTTTTGTATTTTCAGTAGAGACGGAGTTCATGTTTCCCGGGCTGGTCTCGAACTCCAGGGCTCAAGCGATCATTACAGGCGAGAGCCATCGCGCCCGGCCATGCAGATGTATTAATAATTTTTATTTACCATGGTAAGAGTCTTCCCTTGATGTTGAAGTTTGTAAGCAGATGAAAGACTCCAGGGCACGGTGACTCATGCCTGTAATCCCAGCACTTTGGGAGGCCGAGGTAGGCGGATTACTCGAGGTCAGGAGTTTGACCAGCCTGGGCGACAAGAGCGAAACTCCGTCTCAAAAAAAAAAAAAAAAAAAGATTCCAGCTCTGTGTTTATTATCTCCCAATTATTTGGGTCAATGAAATGTCCTTTCTTTTTTTTGAGATGGAGTCTTCCTCTGTGGCCCAGGCTGCAGTAACCTCTGCCTCCTGGGTTCAAGCGATCCTTCTGCCTCAGCCTCCCGAGTAGTTGGGATTACAAGCGAGTGCCATCATGCCTAGCAATTTTTTTATTTTTTGTATTTTTAGTAGAGATGGAGTTTCACCATGGTGGCCAGGCTGGTCTTGAACCCCTGACCTCAAGTGGCCCCCCCCCCCCCCCGTCTTGGCCTCCCAAAGTGCTGGGATTACAGGTGCGAACCCATCCGAAATGCACTTTTTAAAAAATTGATGGAATCTAGAGCTGAAATGTTAAATCAAAGGTTGGTTTGTCACCTCTAGTGTTTTCTCTGGTCTGGAATCTGACTGCAGTTTTCTTTTCTTTTCTTTTCTTTTCTTTTCTTTTCTTTTCTTTTTTTTTAATCCAGATGAACAGGAAGCGGTGCAGGAGGTTCCTAGAGTTGTTCAGAATCCTCCAAAACCAGTCATGACCACTAGACCCACAGCTGTTAAAGCAACAGGTATGCTTTTGTTTTGTTTTTTACATTTTTTCTCCCACGTCTTTCATTAAAGTCAAGTTGGGTTTGTACATAGAATGTTTTGCTGAATGCTTTAGTGTTGCTAACATTATTTCTCCCAAAAATATGATTTAAGATTATTTTTGTTTGTGAGAGAATGTTGATGTATATACACTTTGACCAGTGCAAAATTTGTTGTTTTTCTTTACCCAAAACGTTTTTTACTGTTTTTTTTTCCTGATGCTATTTTATAACTAGTTTTCTGGTCCTCCCACTAGCTTGGTGTTCATTAGGCATGCCAACTCCTATTCCTTTTCTAACACTCTGGCTTGATTGGTTACCTAACAAACATTGGTGGACCTGGAAATTGATCTTATTAAATATTTTCAAGTACAAAGGAATGCCATAGTTGCAACAGTGGTTTTGTAGACAAACCTGGGTTCAATTCATCACTCTGGCATTCACACTTAGACTTTGGCGCAATTACTAATTGGGTTGAACCTCATTAATCTGTAAAATGGATCTTTTATCTCTGAGATATTTCCAGATGTGACATAGTAAGTGCCAGGAATGTTAATTTTCTCTACTCTGTGTATCTTGGAAGAGTAAAATGTGTTTTAATATTAAATATTCTATAATTGGTAGTAATTTCTTTTCAGTTCAGAATACTTTTTGTACTATTTGATGCTTAAAATGATAGATGCTTATTCCTCTCTCCTCACCATTTGCCACCTAAAAAAAAAAAAACAAACAAAACACCCCAGTGTGGGTTAGAAAGCTAAAATTTGAATGTGAGAGAAATTTCAGAACTACATTATACCATTTTGTATTTGCCAACTGCATATGTTATTTCATTTGAGACTTAACACTCATTTAAAATATGTAGAATTTAGCCAGGAGCAGTGGCTCACGCCTGTAATCCCAGCACTTTGGTAGTCTGAGGCAGGCGGATCACCTGAGTTCAGGAGTTCGAGACCAGCCTGGCCAACATGGTGAAACCCCATCTCTACTAAAAACATAAAAATTAGCTGGGCATGGTGGCGCACACCTATAATCGCAGCTACTCAGGAGGTGGAGGTTGCAGTGAACTGAGGTTTTGCCACTGCACTCCAGCCTGGGCGACCGTAAGAACCTGTCTCAAATAAATACATAAAATAAAATATAAATTTAAATGTTTCTAGGAGAAACTTCCTTGATTACTCCTGTGGTTTGAATGTCCTCTCGTGATGTCAACATCTTCCATTAGGCCCCTACCTCCCAACACTGTTGCACTGGGGATTTAATTTCCAAAACATCCTTTTTAGGGGCACATTCAAGCCATAAGAGGTATATACCTAAGAAATAATTTACTGCCTGATATAGGTAGCTGATATACAAATTGTGTAGCACCATCCCTCAAAGGTAAGTAAGAATGTTGAGGTTTGAGGGGTCAACACCTTTCTCAAAAAAAGACTGCTAAAAACTATGGCTCTGGGCCAGGCACAGTGGCTCACGCTTGTAATCCCAGCATTTTGGGAGGCCGAGGCAGGTGGATAATGACGTCAGGAGATCGAGACCATCCTGGCTAACACGGTGAAACCCCATCTCTATTAAAAATACAGAAAATTAGCTGGGCGTGGTGGCGGGCGCCTGTAGTCCCAGCTACTCGGGAGGCTGAGGCAGGAGAATGGCGTGAACCCGGGAGGCGGAGCTTGCAGTGAGCCGAGATCACGCCACTGCACTCCAGCCTGGGCGACAGAGCAAGACTCCGTCTCAAAACAAAACAAAACAAAACAAAACACTATGGCTCTGAAGAATGACCATGCTTTCTCAGGCTTTAAGTAGCAACAAATCTTTTTTTTTTTTTTTTTTTGAGTTCAAGTGCAGTGGTGTGATCTTGGCTCACTGCAACCTCTGCCTCCCGGGTTGAAGTGATTTCTCCTACCTCACCCTCCTGAGCAGCTGGGATTACCGGCTAATTTTTGTATTTTTAGTAGAGACGGGGTTTTGCCATGTTGGCCAGACTGGTCTTGAACTCCTGACTTCAAGTGATCCACCCGCCTTGGACTCCCAAAGTGCGGTGATCACAGGTCTGAGCCACCACGCCCAGCCTGCAACACATCTTCATCTTAACAGTAGTCAAGGACTTGTTCTTACAACTCTAGGGTTTAAGTGATCTTCCTGCCTTGGCCTCCCAAAGTGCTGGGATTACAGGCATGAGCCACTGTGCCCAGCCCAGGAGCTTAGTTTTTAACGCCCCTGAAAATGGGTGGCTCATGCCTGTAATCCTAGTGCTTTGGGAGGCTGAGGTGGGAGGATCACTTGAATCCTAGAGTTCAAGAGCAGCCTAGGCAGCAGAGAGACTCTTTTTTTTTTTTTTTTTTTTTGGAATCAGAGTCTCTGTTGCCCAGGCTGGAGTGCAGTGGCGTGATCTTGGCTCACTGCAGTCTCTGTGTCCTGGGCTCCGGCGATTCTCCTTCCTCAGCCTTCCAAGTAGCTGGGATTACGGGCCCACGCCACCATGCCCAGCTAATTTTTGTATTTTCAGTAGAGACGGTTCACCATGTTGGCCAGGCTGGTCTGGAACTCCTGACTTCAAGTAATCCACCTGCCTCAGCCTCCCAAAGTGCTGGGATTAAACGCATGAGCCATCACACTTGGCCGAGACCCCCACCTCTACAAAAAAGTTTAAAATTAGCTAGACGTGCTGATGAGCACCTGTGGGCCTAGCTACTTGGGAGACTGAGGCAGGAGGATCGCTTGAGCCCAGGAGTTCAAGGCTGCAGTCAGCTATATATGATCATGCCACTGCAACCCAGTCTAGGTGACAGAATGAGACCCTGTGTCAAAAATAATTTAAAAAAATAGGCGGGGCACGGTGGTTCACGCGTGTAATTCCAGCACTTTGGGAGGCCAAGGCGGGCGGATGACAAGGTCGGGAGTTCAAGACCATCCTGGCCAACATAGTGAAACCCCATCGCTACTAAAAATACAATTAGCTGGGTATGGTGGCACGCACCTGTAGTCCCAGCTACTCGTGAGGCTGAGGTGGGAGAATCGCTTGAACCCGGGAGGCGGAGGTTGCAATGAGCTAGACCACACCATTGCACTCCAGCCTGGGTGACAGAGTAAGACTCCATCTCAAAAAAAAAAAACAGCCAGACGCTGTGCCTCACGCCTCTAATCCCAGCACTTTGGGAGGCTGAAGCTGGCGGATCATCTGAGGTCTGGAGTTCGAGACCAGCCTGACCAGCACGGAGAAACCCCGTCTCTACTAAAAATACAAAACTAGCTGGGCATGGTGGCGCATGCCTGTAATTCCAGCTACTTAGGAGGCTGAGGCAGGAAAATCGCTTGAACCCAGGAGGCAGAGGTTGCGGTGAGCCAAGATCACGCCATTGCACTCCAGCCTGGGCAACAAGAGCGAAACTCTGTCTCAAAAAAAAAAAAGAAATTAAATTCTTGGAGTTCTTTAGTACCTGCTTATAGGTCAGTGACACCTGGCCAGCTTTGTTGTTGTTTTTAATAAAATTTTTTTTCTTTCTGTAGACATGGTCTCACTTTATTGCCCAGGCTGTTCTCAAGGAGGCTCAAGTGATCCTCCTTCCTTGGCCTCCCAAAATGCTAGGATTATAGATGTGAGCCACCGTGACCATCCTGTTGATTTTGTTTCTAAGATTTTTCTCTTTTTTTTTTTGCTTTGAGATGGAGTCTTGTTCTGTCGCCCAGGCTGGAGTGCAGTGGTGTGATCTTGGCTCACTGCAACCTCCGTCGCCTGAGTTAAAGTGATTCTCCTGCTGCAGCCTCCCTAGTAGCTGGGATTACTGGCTCATGCCACCATCCCCAGCTAATTTTATATTTTTAGTAGAGACAGGGTTTCAGCATCTTGGCCAGGCTGGTCTTGAACTCCTGACCTTGTAATCCACTCGTCTCAGCCTCCCAAAGTGCTGGGATTAGAGCGGTGAGCGACCATGCCCAGCCTCTGAGATTTTTCTAAGATAAAGCAATTTTACCTGATAATGTGAACGTTTATTTTCAGTGTTACTCTAACTTCATTCCTGTTAACAGTATATACACTGTATTTTCTGAGATTTAATTAAATTTTGTATGTATTTTATGACTTGCTTTTATTCCTTTAGCATTACTTTTAATCCCTTTAGTAATATTTCATGTGATTCTATAATAGTCTGATTTATCACAAAATGGTAATAAATCAGGTATGTCCTATGATTTGCTTTGCCAGTCCACTGTTTGAGAGCATTTGAGTGTTTACAGATTTTAGTTGTTTCAAGCAAGCCACCAGAAGCTTTGAGCAAAGTTTTTTTGGAGTTATGTCTTGGTATTATAGTCTCAAAGATGAAACTATATAAAATAAACTTGAGTTTTGTAGCTCTTGGTACCTGTTGCCAAATTTCACTTAAGATATATGGAATCTAGGCGGTCACTGTGGCTGCCGCCTCCCAACACTATGGGAGGCCAAGGCAGGTGGATCACCTGACGTCAAGAGTTCGAGACCAGCCTGGCAACATGGTGAAAACCTGTCTCTACGAAAATAGAAAAGACCAGGCTGGGTGGCTCACGCCTGTGATCCCAGCACTTTGGGAGCCTGAAGCGGGTGAATCACCTGAGGTCGGGAGTTCTAGATCAGCCTGGCCAACATGGTGAAATCCCATCTCTACTAGAAATACAAAAAAATTACCTGTGGTTGGTGGTGCACTCCTCTAATTCCAGCTGCTCGGGAGGCTGAGGCAGGAAAATCGCTTGAACACGGGAGGCAGAGGTTGCAGTGAGCCAAGGTTGTGCTGCTGCGCTCCAGCCTGGGTGACAGTGAGACTCCATCTCCAAAAAAAAAAAAAACAAAAAAATACAAAAATTACATTGGCACGCACTTGTAATCCCAACTACTTGGTAGGCTGAGGCAGGAGAGTCGCTTGAACCCAGGAAACAGAGGCTGCAGTGAGCCGAGATCATGTGATTACATTTCACCCTGGGTGACAGAGCAAGACTCTGTCTCAAAAAAAAAAAAAAAAAAAATGTTTGATCAATTTATGATGTCTCTCTGAATTTCTCACAAACACTAGGCTTAATAAGTTTCATTTTCTTGGCTAATTTATTATGTTTTTAGGAGTTTAGAAGAAGTTTGTCCATAGGTGAAAAGCTCTTAGGTGAAGAAAGGGAATAGGCAGAGCCGATTTTGCCTGTGGACCTGGGGAACTACCTCTTGTTGGGAAATTTTGTAATGAAAATACCATGCAGCTTACCTGATTGAAACTTTTTACTGAAAGTGATTATATCTATGATTGTCATTAGAAGTATTTTTATTTTTAATTAATTTATTTTGAGTTAGAGTTTTGTTCTTGTTCCCCAGGTTGGAGTGCAATGGCACAGCCTCGGCTCACTGTAACCACCTCCTCCTGGGTTCAAGTGATTCTCCTGCCTCAGCCTCCCAAGTAGCTGGGATTGCAGGTGCCTGCCACCACGCCCAGCTCCTTTTCTTGAATTTTTAGTAGAGATGAGTTTCACCATGTTGGCCAGCCAATCTTGAACTCCTGACCTCAGGTGATCCACCCGCCTTGGCCTCCCAAAGTGCTGGGATTACAGGCATGAGCCACCGTGCCCGGCCAGTATTTTTATTTAAAAATAAAATTTCCCACTCTCCTTTCCAGAATCCATCAGTACTGTATACAAAAGTGTGGCGTTATTTCATACAGAAGTTTCTCCTTTGGTAGTTCTGCTCTTATAAAGCTGAATACATTTTGTTCAGAATATCAAGAAAATTGGGCCGGGCGCCATGGTTCACGCCTGTAATCTCAGCACTTTCGGAGGCCAAGGCAGGCAGATCACTTGAGGTCAGGAGTGCGAGAGCAGCCTGGCCAACATGGTGAAACCCCATCTCTACTAAAAATACAAAAAAATTAGCCAGGCGTGGTGGTGCACGCCTATAATCCCAGCTACTTGGGAGACCGAGGCTGGAGAATCACTTGAACCTGGGAGGCAGAGGTTGCAGTGAGTCAAGACTGCACCATTGCACTCCAGCCTGGGCAAGAAGAGCGAAACTCCATACCAAAAAAAAAAAGCCAGGCGCAGGTCTCACACCTGTAATCCCAGCACTTTGGGAGGCCAAAAAGGGCAGATCACTTGAGGTCAGGAGTTCGAGACCAGCGTGGCCAACATGGTGAAACCCCGTCTCTACTAAAAGTACGAAAATTAGCAGGTCGTGGTGGCGTGCGCCTGTTAATCCTAGCTACTCGGGAGGCTGAGGCAAGAGAATCACCTGAACCCGGGAGGCGGAGGTTGCACTGAGCTGAGATTGTGCCACTGCACTCCAGCCTGGGTGACAGTGTGAGACTCTATCTCAAAAAAAAAAAAAAAATTAGAGACACTATCTAAGAAACGTCCTTGCAAATTTCTCTCTCTTTTCCCCCCCGCTTTTTTTTAGACGGAGTCTCGCCCTGTCACCAGGCTGGAATACAGTGACGTGATCTCAGCTCACTGCAATGTCCACCTTCCGGGTTCAAGCAATTCTCATGCCTCAGCCTCCTGAGTAGCTGGGATTACAGGCGCGCACCACCACAGCCAGCTAATTTTTTGTTTTTAGTAGAGGTGGGATTTCACCATGTTGGCCAGGATAGTCTTGATCTGACCTCGTGATCCACCTGCCTCAGCCTCCCAAAGTGCTGGCATTACAGGCATGAGCCACCATGCCTGTCCACAAACGTCCATGTAAATATCTTTCTTACCAGTTTAAAATACTATTGTGATCAGGTGAGGTGGCTCACACCTATATTTTGTGGTCAGACGAGGTGGCTCACACCTGTAATGTCAGCACTTTGGGAGGCTCAGGCAGGGGATTGCTTGAGCTCAGGAATTCAAGACCAAACTGAGCAACAGATTGAAACCTTTTGTGTGCTTAAAAAATGCCAAGTGTGGTGGCGTAGGCCTGTAGTCCTAGCTACATGGGAGACTGAGGCAGGAGGATGGCTTGTGACCAGGAGTTCGAGATGAGCCTAGGCAACATGGCAAAACCCCGTCTCTACCAAAGTTAGCCAGGCGCAGTGGTGCGCATCTCTAGTCCCAGCTACACAGGAGCCTGATTGAGGTGGGAAGATTGGTTGAGCTCAGGAGGTCAAGGCTGCAGTGAGCTGTGATCGCACCAGTTCACTTGTGCCAGAGTGAGACCCTGTCTCAAAAAAAAGAAATGAAAAATTTTGCCTAACATTTTGGGAAGTCAAGGCAGGAAGATCACATGAGGACAGGATGAGACCAGCCTAGGCAACATAGGAGATTCCATCTCTGCATAAAATAAAAAATAAAATAAATTAGCCAGGCATGGTGGGTTGTGACTCTAGTCATCCACTCAGGATGCTGAGGCAAGAGAATCATTTGAGGCCAGGAGTTTGAGGATGTAGTGATCCACTGCTTCTGCCTTGGCAATAGAGCAAGACCGTATCTCTTACATATATACATAAACAAATCAAACTTTAGAAATTGATGTTTAGAGGCTATGTGTGGTGGCTCATGCCTGTAGTCCCAGCACTTTGGGAGGCCGAGGTGGGCAGATCACTTGAGGTCAGGAGTCCAAGAGCAGCTAGGCCAACATAGCGAAACCCCATCTCTACTAAAAATGCAAACATTACCCAGGTGTGGTGGTGCACACCTGTAATCCCAGCTACTCGGGAGGCTGAGGCAGGAGAATCGCATGAACCCTGGAGGTGGAGGTTGCAATGAGCCAAGATTGCGCCACTGCACTTCAGCCTGGGCAACAGAGCAAGACTCCGTCTCAGCCGGGTGCGGTGGCTCACGCCTATAATCCCAGCACTTTGGGAGGCCGAGGTGGGCGGGTCACGAGGTCAGGAGATCAAGACCATCCTGGCTAACACGGTGAAACCCCATCTCTACTAAAAATACAAAAAAATTAGCCGGGCGTGGCGGGCGCCTGTAGTCCCAGCTACTCAGGAGGCTGAGGCAGGAGAATGGCGTGAACCTGAGAGGCAGAGCTTGTAGTGAGCGGAGCCACTGCACTCCAGCCTGGGGGACAGAGCGAGACTCCATCTCAAAATAAAATTGCTATTTAAGAACTTACCTACATATGCTGGAAAGGATGTGGAGAAATAGGAACGCTTTTATGCTGTTAGTGGGAGTGTAAACTAGTTCAACCATTGTGGAAGACAGTGTGGTGATTCCTCAAGGATCTAGAACTAGAAATACCATTTGACCCAGCGATCCCATTACTGGGTATATACCCAAAGGATTATAAATCATGCTGCTATAAAGACACATGCACACGTTATGTTTACTGCAGCACTATTCACAATAGCAAAGACTTGGAACCAACCCGAATGTCCATCAATGATAGACTGGATTAAGAAAATGTGGCACATATACACCATAGAATACTATGCAGCCATAAAAAAGGATGAGTTCATGTCCTTTGTAGGGACATGGATGAAGCTGGAAACCATCATTCTGAGCAAACTATCGCAAGGACAGAAAACCAAACACCACATATTCTCACTCATAGGTAGGAATTGAACAATGAGAACATTTGGACACAGGGTGGGGAACATCACACACCGGGGCCTGTCATGGGGTCGGGGGTGGGGGAGGGATAGCATTAAGAGAAATACCTAATGTTAATGATGAGTTAATGGGTGCAGCACACCAACATAGTACATGTATACATATGTAATAAACCTGCACCATTGTGCACATGTACCTTAGAACTTAAAGTATAACAACAACAACAAAAAACTTAACCTACATACAGAAAGAAAAAAATGAAGGCAGGAATTACGATACTAAGGCACTGAATATGAACTCCTACATGATTAATGGAACAATTTATGTTTACTTTTAGGTGACCTTTGAGTTTATGTATGGGATGTATGACACACAAAACTAGATTTAACTTTCGATAAATCTGTTCATTTACCAACTTTTTAGTGAGCGTAGAATGTGTCAGCGCTGTGAAATTTAATATAAGTAATAGCTGGAAAAGTCTAGCTAGAATTTAACATTTTATGTGTTTATAATACATATAATAATACTCTATGTATTATATTGTTAATTGTAATCTTGGAGTAGCCACAGATGATCCAAAAGGAAATGGCATAGCAGCATTACAGAGGCCATACCTGATACCACTTAAATTTGAGGAAGACATTGATCATTGGTTTTAGCCATGTTGAGCCCCATTTTTAATTCCTGTCACTTCATGTTTTTAATTTCTGTCACTTCCTATTTGAGGAATAATCATTGATTAAAAGCTTCGTTTTTAACTTTGAAAGTCTTTATTTCTTTAGTTTTTGAAAGTCTTTGTTTCAGCTGCTACACTGTAATTGGCTCAGTTTGAAGTAAACACTTTAATCACCAAATTCTAAAATCAAGATATACTATCTATGAACAATTTGGAAAGAGAGTGAGATTGAATAATTGATTGAAATAACTATGCAGATTAATTTTCTTGTTCTCGATTTTTTTTGTTTTTGTTTTTTTTTTGGAGACATGGTCAGTCTCACTTTGTCACCCTGGCTGGAGTACAGTGGAGATGTTTCGGCTTAATGCAGCCTCAACCTCCTGGGCTCAAGCTATCCTTGCACCTCAGCCGTATGCTCGGCTAAATTTTTATTCTTTTTCCTTTTCCCTTTTTTTTTTTTTTGTTTTTGTTTTTATGGGATAGACAAGGTCTCACTATGTTTTCGAGGCTGGTCTCAGATTCTGGGCTCAAATGATCTTCCTGCCTCAGATCCTCCCGAAGAAGTTGGGTCTGTAGACATAAGCTGTGTTGCCTGGCTCATAGATCAACATGTTTTTTTATTTTTTATTTTATTTATTTATTTATTTTGAGACGGATTTTCACTGTTGTTGCCCAGGCTGGAGTGCAGTGGCGTGATCTCAGCTCACCGCAACCTCCGCCTCCCGAGTTCAAGCAATTTTTCTGCTTCAGCCTCCTGAGTAGCTGGGATTACAGGCATGTGCCACCACACCTGGATAATTTTGTATTTTTAGTAGAGACAGGGTTTCTCCATGTTGGTCAGGCTGGTCTTGAACTCCTGACTTCAGGTGATCTGCCCGCCTCAGCCTCCCAAAGTGCTGGGATTACAGGTGTGAGCCACCATGCCCAGCCCAGATCAATTTTTTTTTTTTTTTTTTAACCCCCGGAGACAGAGTCTTACTCTTTTGCCCAGGGTGGAGTGCAGTGGCGTGATCTTGGCTCACTGCAACCTCTGCCTCCCAGGTTCAAGCACTTCTCCTGCCTCACTAGCTGGGACTACAGGCACGTGCTACCAGGCCTGGCTAATTTTTTGTATTTTTAATAGAGATGGGGTTTCACCATGTTGCCCAGGCTGGTCTCAAAACGCCTGACCTCATGATCCACCCACCTCGGCCTCCCAAAGTGCTGGGATTACAGGCGTTGAGCCACTGCACCAGGCCTATAGATCAATTTTTATTAGCTTTAACCATACGATGTAATTTATTCTTCTGTGGTAGTTCAGTGATTATTAGTTTTGCGGTTATGTTCTAATCTGTAAGTAAGTTTAAAAAAAACATGTTATACTTCCGCTTTAGATGCTTCTTAGGACATATTGACATTGTTGTTACAAATACTGTTTACCTTTTTGTTTCTAGGCGGTCTATGCTTGCTTGGTGCTTATGCTGACAGTGATGACGATGACAATGATGTTTCCGAAAAACTAGCACAATCCAAAGAGACAAATGGAAACCAGTCAACTGATATTGATAGTACATTGGCCAACTTCCTAGCGGTTAGTGGTGCTTTCGTTTGGAGTTTTAGTTACTGAAGCTACTTTGGGACCTGGATCTTAAGTGGTCAGCGTACTTGTCAGTTCAATGTCTTCCTCCTCCTTTCTCCCTCTCCCTCCAACACTCTCTTGTATTTCTCCCGATCTCTATCTCTCTTTTTGTTTTGTTTTGTTTAACTTTAAGAGATGGGGTCTCACTGTGTTGCTCAGGCTGGTCTTGAACTCTTGGGCTGAAGCGATCCTCCCACCTCGGCCTTCCAAAGTGCTGGGATTATAGGTGTGAGCCATCACACCTGGCTGTCTCTCCTTTTTTTTTTTTTTCTTGAGATAGAATCTCACTCTGTTGCCCAGTCTCGAGTGCAGCGGTACGATCTCGCCTCACCGCAACCTGTCTCCTGGGTTCAAGTAGCTGAGGCTACAGGTATGTGCACCCGAGTAGCTGGGGCTACAGGTATGTGCCACCACACCCAGCTGATTTTTGTATTTTTGGTAGAGACGGGGTTTCACCATGTTGGCCAGGCTGGTCTCAAACTCCTGACCTCAGGTGATCAACCCACCTCGGCCTTCCAAAGTGTTGGGATTACAAGCGTGAGCCACCACCTCCCTTTTCTTTTTGTAAAGCTTTCAAAGAGAAGAAAGGCAAATTAGAAGAGACTGGGGAGCTTGTATAATTGGAAGATGAGGGTTTTGATTTGAGAAGCTTAGAATGAGTATCTAGAATTTTTTTTTTCTCCCTCGAGACTGGGTCTTACTGTCACCCAGGCTGAAATGTGGTGGCGTGATGTTGGCCCACTGCAACCTCTGCCACCCAGGTTCAAGTAATTCTCCCACCTCAGCCTCTTGAGTAGCTGGGATTACAGGCATGTGCCACCACGCCCGATAATAATTGTATTCTTTTTTTTTTGTTTTTTGTTTTTTTTGAGACAGAGTCTTGCTCTTTCACCCAGGTTGGAATGCAGTAGCGTGATCTCGGCTCACTGCAATCCCCGCCTCCCAGATTCAAGCAATTCTAGTGCCTCAGCCTCCCAAGTAGCTGAGATTACAGGTGCCCACCACCACATCCAGCTAATTTTTGTATTTTTAGTAGAGACAAGTTTTCACCATATTGGCCAGGCTGGTTTTGAACTTCTGACCTCAGGTGATCCGCCCGCCTTGGCCGCCCAGAATGCTGGGATTACAGGCGTGAGCCACCGTGCCCAGCCTAATTTTTTTTATTTTTAGTAGAGGGAGATTTCACCATGTTGGCCAGCCTGGTCTCGAATTCCTGACCTCAAGTGATCCACCTGTCTCAGCCTCCCAAAGTGCT
Source organism: Homo sapiens (assembly GCF_000001405.40). Taxonomy (NCBI): domain Eukaryota; kingdom Metazoa; phylum Chordata; class Mammalia; order Primates; family Hominidae; genus Homo; species Homo sapiens. Next base: position 185,591 of record NW_019805496.1, on the reverse strand, counting down.
GGAACTGTAGGTGTGAGCCACTGTGCCCGGCTCATGTAGAATTTTTAAAAAGTGATTGCCATTTCCTTAAGTTTCTTGTTTTTGATATAATTACTGCATTTGTTACTCTTTTCATACTGAAGGAGATCGATGCCATAACAGCTCCTCAGCCTGCAGCTCCTGTAGGAGCTTCTGCTCCACCTCCAACTCCACCTCGACCAGAGCCAAAGGAAGCAGCAACATCTACCCTTTCTTCTTCTACTTCAAATGGAACAGACTCCACCCAAACATCTGGTTGGCAATATGATACTCAGTGTTCACTGGCAGGAGGTAAACTTGATCCTTTGATTTTTAAAGAAAAGTAAAATCCTTAAAGGGATTCTAGGCATTCACTTTTCTGGTTTTTTGTTTGTTTGTTTGTTTGTTTGTTTTGAGATGGAATCTCGCTCTGTCGCCCAGGCTGGAGTGCACTGGCGCGATCTTGGCTCGCTCCAACCTCCACCTCCTGGGTTCAGACAGTTCTCCTCCCTCAGCCTCCTGAGTAACTGGGACTACAGGCGCACACTGCCATGCCTGGCTAATTTCTCTTTTGTATTTTAGTAGAGACGTGGTTTCACTGTGTTGCCCAAGGCTGGTCTCGAACTCCTGAGCTTAGGAAATCAGCCTGCCTTGGCCTCCCACAGTGCTAGGATTACAGGTGTGAGCCATCGCTCCCGGCTGGCATTCAGTTTTCTAAAGATGAAAGCCCAGAGACTTTAACCTTAGACTTTAGGATTCTGTCTTTTTATTTTTATTTATTTAATTGTTTTTTTTTTTTTTTGAGACTGAGTTTCACCCTTGTTGCCCAGGCTGGAGTGCAGTGATGCGATCTCGGCTCACTGCAACCTCCGCCTCCCAGGTTCAACCAATTCTTCTGCCTCAGTCTCCTGAGCAGCTGGGATTACAGGCACCCACCACCACGCCCAGCAAATTTTTTGTATTTTTAGTAGAGATGGGGTTTCACGATGTTGGCAAAGCTGGTCTCGAACTCCTGACCTCGGGGGATCCACCTGCCTCGGCCTCCCAAGGTGCTGTGATTACAGGTTTGAGCCACCGCGCCCAACCTCTGTCTTTTTAAATAAAGCATGTTGAAGATGGTAGGTAGGATAGTCGGCTCAGAAAACTAGTAGGATGTAATTTTTATCTTTTAAAAAGTAATTGCTTGTCCTTGCCAGTTGAATAAGAAAAGCCATGATATTCAAAGTATTTTAGGTACATTTTTGGACCAGCAAACTGCTTTTTTCTATTTACTAATTTAGAGGTGGAGTTTTGCTCATGTTGCCCAGGCTGGAGTGCAATGGTGCAATCTTGGCTCATCGCAGCCTTTGCCTCCCGAGTTCAAGCAATTCTCCTGCCTCAGCCTCCCGAGTAGCTGGGATTACAGGCACGCACCACCACGCCCAATTTTTGTATTTTTAGTAGAGACAGGGTTTCTGCATGTTGATCAGGCTGGTCTCAAACTCCCGACCTTAGGTGATCTGCCCACCTTGGCCTCCCAAATGCTGGGATTACAGGCATGAGCCACTGTAGCCGGCCAAACTGTTTTTTTTTAAAAAATGTGTTCAAAGGTGACTCTAAATGTTAGATATTGAGAAAATAATTCTTGGTGTTAGGCCAGTGGTTCTCAACCAGTGTTGGGGGGTGCCCCTAGGGGATATTTGACAATGTCTGTCAAATATTTTTTATTGTCACAATGTAGGAGGCAGGGTGGATGGGAGTGCTACTGTATCTAGTGGGCAGAGGCCAGGGGTGCTGCTAAAACCTCCACATAGGATTGCCCCTCCACAACAAAGACCTGTGTGCCCAAAAGTTAACAGTGCTGTTTTGAGAAACTGTTAGGTGATTTTGGCTTTTGAGCTTATATGTAAGCCAGAATTGTAGAGGGATTTGTGCTTAAAATTTGTTTTATCTTCTAGTCGGAATTGAGATGGGCGATTGGCAGGAAGTCTGGGATGAGAACACGGGATGTTATTATTATTGGAATACACAAACAAATGAAGTGACTTGGGAGTTACCCCAATATCTTGCCACACAGGTACAGGGATTACAGCATTACCAGCCCAGGTAAGAATAAATTTAAAAGTGAAATTGCCTAGAAGGAAATTGAAGCCTTATCTTTTGCTGATAGTATTTGTCTTATATTTCTCTTGCTAAGTATATATTTTTTTAGTTCTGTGCCAGGTGCTGAAACTAGTTTTGTGGTAAATACAGACATATATTCTAAGGAGAAAACGATTTCTGTTTCCAGTAGTAAAAGTGGACCAGTCATAGCCAAGCGAGAAGTTAAAAAGGTCAGTGTCGAAACTTACCTCATTTGTTTATTTTCAGATCTAATAAGCGTTACTCTGAGCACAGGAGTGGAAGCCTTCTCTTAATATTTTATGTCATACATGTGAAATAGGATAAGTTTCATAACTTTCACTTTGTTTCTGTGTATTATGTAGCCTTTATAGCGGTTACTCACTTGACTTTTTCTTTTTTCTTTTTTCTTTTTTTTTTTTTTTTTTTTTTTTTTTTTGAGACAGAGTCTCGCCCCGTCACCCAGGCTGGAGTACAGTGGTGCGATCTCAGCTGACTGCAAGCTCCACCTCCCGGGTTCACACCATTCTCCTGCCTCAGCCTCCTGAGTCGCTGGGATTACAAGCACCCGCTACCACACCTGGCTTATTTTTTGTATTTTTAGTGGAGACGGTGTTTCACTGTGTTAGCCAGGATGGTCTCGATCTCCTGACCTCATGATCCGCCTGCCTTGGCCTCCCAGAGTGCTGGGATTACAAGCGTGAGCCACCACATCTGGCCTTTTTTTTTTTTTTTTTTTTTTTTTTGATATGGAGTCTCGCTCTGTTGCCCAGGCTGGAGCGCAGTGGTGCTGTCTCAGCTCACTGCAACCTCTGCCTCCCAGGCTCAAGAAGTGATTCTCCTGCCTCAGCCTTCTGAGTAGCTGGCATTACAGGCACCTGCCACCATGCCTGGCTAATTTTTGTATTTTTATTAGAGGCAGGGTTTCACCATGTTGGTCAGGCTGGTCTCAAACTCCTGACCTCAGGTGATCTACCTGCCTCAGCCTCCCAACGTGCTGAGATTACAGGCATGAGCCACTGCAGCTGGCCCACTTCACTTTTTCTTTGAGAGCTTTAGGGTATCACAGAGGCCTCTTGGATCATTGCAAAGGACGTGGGAGCAGCAGTCCAGACAGGGCTCCACTTCACATAGAATCATTCTATTATTTTTCGGATTCCATATATAAGACATTTTAAAAATATAAAGGTAACTACTTTAAAAACTACTGCAGGTTGAGTATTTCTTAATTGAAATGCCTGGGATCGGAGATAATTTAGATTTTGAATTTTTTTGAATTCTGAAATATTTGCGTTATACTTAGCAGTTGAGTATTCTTAATCTGAAAATGTGAAATCTGAGATGCTCCAGTGAGCATTTCCTTTGATCATCATGTCAGTGCTCAAACGGTTTCAGATTTTGGATTTTTCAATAACGGATACTATGTTAGTGAAACCTGAGCATTTCTATAGCCTAATTAGTAAGAAAAGTAAGTTGTATTCCTTAGGGAGTGTATATTGAATTCCAATTTATCTTCAATTTTAAAGACTTTTTTGCATCAAAATATATTTTAATTTTAATTTTTTTCTTTTTGAGACAGAGTCTTGCTTGGTTACCCAGGCTGGAAGGGAGTGGCGCGATTTCAGCTCATTGCATCCTCCGCCTCCCAGTTTCAAGCAATTCTGCCTCAACTTCCCGAGTAGCTTGGATTACAGGCACAACGCCTGACTAATTTTTCTATTTTTTTTTAGTAGAGACGAGGTTTCACCAGTTGGTCAAGCTGGTCTTGAACTCCTGACCTCAAGTGATCCACCTGCCTCAGACGCTGGGATTACAGGCACAAGCCACCGCACCTTTCCTTTTTATTTACTTATTTTTGAGACAGGATCTGACTCTGTCACCCAGGCTAGAGTACAGTGGCACGACCATGGCTCACTGCAGATTTACTCTCCTGAGCTCAAGCAGTCCTGCCTCAGACTGCTTAGTAGCTGGGACTACAGGTGTGCACCACCATGCCAGGTTTTGTTTGTTTGTTTGTTTGTTTGTTTGTTTTTTGAGAGACGTGGTCTCACCATGTTTGCCAGACAGGTCTCAAACTCTGAGCTCAAGTGATGCTTCTGCCTCGGCCTCCCAAATTGCTTACATTATAGGTGTGAGCTACTGCATGTAGCCCAAAAAAAATACTTTAAAATAATATAATTGAGCTTGGCGCAGTGGCTCACACCTGTAATCCCAGCACTTCGAGAGGTCAAGGCAGGCGGATCACTTGAGGTTAGGAGTTCAAGACCAGCCTGGCCAACATGGTAAAACCCCGTCTATTAAAAATACTAAAATAACTGGGTGTAGTGGCACATGCTTGTAGTCCCAGCTACTTGGGGGTCTGAGGCAGGAGAATCGCTTGAATCTGGGAGGCAGAGGTTGCAATGAGCTGAGACCGCACCACTGCACTCCAGCCTGGGTGACAGAGTGAGACTCCATCTCAAAAAAAAATTTAATAATAATAATAAAATAATAATTTAATCAGGGCAGGAAGATGGCTTGAGTGCAGGAGTTCTAAACCAGCCTGGAAAACATAACAAGATCAACCCCATCTCTACAAAAGAAAAATTACCCAGGCAAGGTAGCACACACCTGTAGTCCCAGCTACTCAGGAGGCAGAGGCAAGAGGATAGCTTGAGCCCAGGAGTTCAAAATTATCATTGTGCCAGTGTGTTCCAGCCTGGACAGAGTGAGACCATCCAGAAATAATAATAATAACTTAAATTTACAGTTACAGAAAGGAGGATAGGACAAGTGTTACCCCAATGGGAGAAGCAGATACTTTAATCACAAATTTCATTTCAGGAATAGTTCATTTTATTTTATTTTATTTTATTTTTATTTTTTATTTTTATTATTTTTTTTTTCTTTGAGACCTAGCCTAGCTCTGTCACCCAGGCTGGAGTGCAGTGGCGCGATCTCTGCTCACTGCAACCTCCACCCCCCGGGTTCAAGCGATTCTCCTGCCTCAGCCTCCCGAGTAGCTGGGAGTACAGGCGCCTGTCCCACGCCCGGCTAATTTTTGTAGTTTAGTAGAGACGGGGTTTCACCATATTGGCCAGGCTGATCTCGAACTCCTGACCATGTGATCCTCCCACCTTGGCCTCCCAAAGTGCTGGGATTACGGGCATGAGCCACCACGCCCAGCTATTTTATTTTTTTGAGACAGTCTCTCACACTGTCATCCGAGCTGGAGTACAGTGGCATGATCTCAGTTCACTGCAACCTCTGCCTCCCAGGTTCAAGCGATTCTTCTGCCTCAGCCTCCCGAATAGCTGGGATTACAGGCGCACGCCGCCATGCCGGGCTAATTTCTGTATTTTTAGCAGAGATGGGGTTTCACTATGTTGGCCAGGCTGGTCTCAAACTCCTGACCTTGTGATCCGCCTGCCTTGGCCTCCCAAAGTGCTGGAATTACAGGCATGAGCCACTGCGCCCGGCCTAGGAATAGTTCACTTTAGTCTAAATCACCTTCATGGCATACTTACTAAATTTTCTTATCAGGCCCAGCATGGTGGCTCACGCCTGTAATCCCAGCACTTTCGGAGGCTGAGGTGGGCAGATCACCTGAGGTCAGGAGTTCAAGATCAACTTGGCCAACCTGGTAAAACCCTGTCTCTACTAAAAATACAAAAATTGGGCCTGTTGCCAAGGTGGGCGGATCACCTGAGGTCAGGAGTTCGAGACCAGCCTGGCCAACGTGGTGAAACCCTGTGTCTACTAAAAGTACAAAAAAAATTAGCCAGGCTTGGTGGCTCTCGCCTATAATCCCAGCTGCTCAGGAGGCTGAGGCAGGGAAATTGCTTGAACCCGGGAGGCAGACGTTGCAGTGAGCCGACATCACACTTTGCACTCCAGCCTGGGCAAGAAGAGCGAGAGTTCGTCTCAAAAACAGAAACAAAAATGAGCTGGGTGTAGTGGTGCATCCCTGTAATCCCAGCTACTTGGGAGGCTAAGGCTGTGAGGCTGGGAATCGCTGGAACCTGGGAGGCAGAGGTTGCAGTGACTTGAGATCACGCAATTGCACTCCTGGGCAACAGAGTGAGACTCTCTCAAAAAAAAAAATTTCTCATCATACAGAAGAAGGTAAAGATTTATCCAGTCATGTTATGAGCTGACAAAATACTGATCTTAAATCTATCTCTGTTTACTACTAGTCTGCCTTTTGACATCCTGAGAATAGCAGGGAGGATATATTTGAATCCTACCTAGAACTAGGCTCTCATTCAGTCAGTGTCTGTCTAAAGTAATAATGTAATGGTATAAATATATACTCACCTGTTGGGAGTAAGTGGTTTTGGCCGGGCACGGTGGCTCACACCTGTAATCCCAGCACTTTGGGAGGCTGAGGTGGGCAAATCACAAGGTCAGTAGTTTGAGACCAGCCTGGCCAACGTGGTGAAAGGCCTCTACTAAAAATACAAAAAATTAGCTGGGCATGGTGGCGGGCGCCTGTAATCCCAGCTACTTGGGAGGCTGAGACAGGAGAATAGCTTGAACCTGGGAGGCAGAGGTTGCAGTGAGCCAAGATTGTGCCACTGCACTCCAGCCTGGGTGACAGTGCGAGACTCCATCTCAAAAAAAAAAAAAGTCGTTTTTACCTTGAGTATTCAGCTACTGAAAACAGTTAATATGAATGTGTGTGCAATTGAATGTATGTGCAGGTGAGATTTGTTTCAGAATTAAATGAGACTAAATTATTTTGTTCTTTATAGGAAGTAAATGAAGGAATTCAGGCTCTCTCAAATAGTGAGGAGGAGAAGAAAGGGGTGGCAGCATCGCTGCTTGCTCCTTTATTGCCTGAGGGAATAAAAGAAGAAGAAGAGAGATGGAGAAGAAAAGTAATTTGTAAAGAGGAGCCAGTTTCAGAAGTAAAAGAAACAAGTACAACAGTAGAAGAAGCAACAACAATAGTAAAGCCACAGGAAATTATGTTGGACAATATAGAAGACCCTTCTCAGGAGGATCTTTGCAGTGTTGTCCAATCTGGAGAAAGTGAGGAGGAAGAGGAACAAGATACCCTTGAACTGGAGCTAGTTTTGGAAAGGAAAAAAGTAAGCTTTTGAAAGTTACTTGTAGAATGTTTTTTCCTCAGTACTACTCTACAGGGATCATTGTGCTTGACTTACAACCATTATTGGGATTTTGTTTTTCTTATCCCATCATCTAGGTATGTTGAAGCTTATGCAGCAAAAACTTTAAACTACAGAGGTGTAGGTTTTTTGGTCCTTGATGATACTTTTGGTAGTTATCGGGGGAACTCACCCCCAATATTTCAACCTAGGTTCTTTCTATTTTCCATAAGTGTCGGCCAGCTGAGAAATAGAAAGAGTATAATGAGAGGAATTTTACAGCTGGGCCGCCGGGGGTGACATCACATATCGGTAGGACTATGATGCCCACCCGAGCCTCAAACCAGCAAGTTTTTTATTAAGGGTTTCAAAAGGGGAGGAGGTGTAAGAACAGGGAGTAGATCATGTGCTTCAAAGGGCAAAAAGGTACTGATAAGGGTCTATGTTCAGCGGTGCACATGTTGTCTTGATAAACATCTTAAACAACAGAAAACAGGGTTCAAGAGCAGAGAATCAGTCTGACCACAGACTTACCAGGGCCGGGTTTTTCCCCACCCTAATAAGCCTGAGGGTACTTCAGGAGACCAGGGCGTATCTCAGTCCTTATCTCAACCGCATAGGACAGACATTCCCAGAGCGGCAGTTTATAGACCTACCCCCAGGAATGCATTCCTTCCCCAGGATATTAATATTAATATTCCTTGCTAGGAAAAGAATTTAGCGATATCTTCCCTACTTGCATGTCCATTTATGGGCTCTATGCAAGAAGAAAAATATGGCTCTTTTTGCCTGACCCTGCAGGCAGTGAGACCTTATGGTTTTCTTCCCTTGTTCCCTAAAAATCACTGTTACTCTGTTCTTTTTCAAGGTGCACTGATTTCATACTGTTCAAACACGTTTTACAATCAATTTGTACAGTTAACACAATTATCACAGTGGTCCTGAGGTGATGTACATCCTCAGCTTACTAAGATAACAGGATTAAGAGATTAAAGTAAGAAAGGCATAAGAAATTGTAAAAGTGTTATTTGGGAATTGATAAATGTCCATATTAAAATGAAATCTTCACAATTTATGTTCCTCTGCCATGGCTTCAGCTGGTCCTTCCATTCAGGATCCCTGACTTCCCACAACAGGTAGTTGATAATCAATAAAGAGACTTGACATTACTCAGACTTATACAAATGGGTACCAGAAAAAAACCAGAAAGAATGAATAAGACCTACTATTTGATAGCACAGTAGGGTGACTAGTCAATAATAACTGTATATTATAAAATAACTTTAAAGAATGAAGTTGGATTATTTGTAACTCAAAGGATAAATGCTTGAGGGGATGGTTATCCCATTCTCCATGATGTGCTTATTTCACATTGCATACCTGTGTCAAAACATCTCATGTATCCCATAAATATATACACTTACTATGTACCCACAAAAAAATGGGCAAAATTAAAAAATAAAAATAGAGTGAGTAGGCCGAGTGCAGTGGCTCATGCCTGTAATCCCAGGACTTTGGGAGGCTGAGCAGGAGATCACTTGAGCCCAGAAGTTGAGACCAATGTGAGCAACATACCCAGATATCATCTCTTACTAGAAAAAAAAAGTATGATGACATGTGCCTGTAGTTCCAGCTACTTGGAAGGGTGAGGTGGGAGGATTGCTTGAGCTCAGAAGGTTGTAGCTACAGCGAGCCATGATCATGCCACTGCACTCCAACCTGGGCAACAGAGGGAGAGCCTGTCTCCAAAAAAAAAAAAGTGCTTTCTGTTCTCAAAGAATTTAAATTTCAACAACATAGTCTTGTTTATTATTCTGATTATACATATTAATAAGCAGTTAATGACACTAACTTAATTGTCATGTTCTTTGTAGGCAGAGTTGCGAGCCTTGGAGGAAGGAGATGGTAGTGTGTCAGGGTCTAGTCCACGTTCTGATATCAGCCAGCCAGCATCTCAAGATGGAATGCGTAGGCTTATGTCTAAAAGAGGAAAATGGAAGATGTTTGTTCGAGCTACCAGTCCAGAATCTACCAGTAGGAGTTCTAGTAAAACTGGACGAGATACTCCAGAAAATGGAGAAACTGGTAATTTGTGCTTCACATTAAACTTCAGAGTTGAAAGATATAGAGGGGAAGGAAACTCTTGTCTTTTTTTGTTTCCTCTTCAACAAAACAGGAGATTGTACTTTTACTCTTTGGGAGAAGTGCTGGGAAGGAAGCTTCCATCCACCTCTCTACCTTTTCCAGATCTTTTTCTAGTAGAGGAGTAAGAGCCTGAGAGGCTGACACCCACTGGATGGTGGTGTATTCAGAGTCCAGTCCCATTTCTTCTCTCTGTCTACGTTGCCCAGCCTCTGTGTGGGTGGGTAGAGAGTTTGATTGTGTCATGAGGACCCAAGTTGTCTTCATTCAGGTAATAAGGACCTTATCATTCATTCATGGTAAGGTCGAAGAGCTCCTGCTGCATTTTTTAATCTATTTTCAGAGATCCCTGGATGAAGCTAATATTTTAATCTCCATTTGGCCCTAATTATTTTTTTTTCTTTTCCTTTTTGAGACGGAGGTCTCACTCTGTCACCCAGGCTGGAGTACAAAGGCATGATCTTGGCTCACTGCAACCTCCGCCTCCCAGATTCAAGCAATTCTCTTACCTCAGCCTCCCGAGTAGCTGGGATTATAGGTGCCTGCCACCGCGCCTGGCTATTTTTTGTATTTTTAGTAGAGACGGAGTTTCGCCATGTTGGCCAGGCTGATCTCGAACTCCTGATCTCAGTTGATCCGCCCGCCTCCCAAAGTGCTGGGATTACAGGCGTGAGCCACCGCTTTCAGCTGTGGCCCTAATTCTGTAGTGGAAAGTCAGCAGTAAGATAAGGACGCCAAACCTTAGTTGAGTACACCTAGAAGAAAATACTTTTATGGATCGTGGTTCAAAAACAGCCCAGTGCTGCTTCACAGGAAACTGAGGCAGAAGGATCCCTGGACCCTAGGAGTTCCAGGCTAGCTGGGCAACATAGCAAGACCCTTGTTTCTTGATAAAAGAAAAAAAAGAAACAAAGAACCAAACAAAAAAAAAACAACAATACAGGTGTTAAATAAAGAAAGACATCCTTGTTTGAATTTTTTCTTTTCTTTTTATTTATATTTTTTGAGACGGAGTTTCACTCTTGTTGCCCAGGCTGGAGTGCAATGGTGCAGTCTTGGCTCACTGCAACCTGTGCCTCCTGGGTTCAAGTGATTCTGCTGCCTCAGCCTCCTGAGTAGCTGGGATTACAGGCGCCCGTCACCACGCCCAGCTAATTTTTTGTATTTTTCAGTAGAGATGGGGTTTCACCATGTTGGCAAGGCTGGTCTCGAACTCCTGACCTCAGGTGACCTGCCCACCTTAGCCTTGCAAGGTGCTGGGATTACAGGCATGAGCCAGCACCCCTAGCCTGAATTTTTTCTTTTCAGTTGGCAGTTCGAAATAACATAAAGGAAAATTCTGTAAATCCTCTTTATCTTTTCATTATTCTCATTCCCTACCCCGTGGTCCTTTTTTTTTTTTTTTTTTTTTTTTTTTTGAGACGGAGTCTTGCTCTGTCCCCCAGCCTGGAGTGCAGTGGTACGATCTCTGCTCACTGGAACCTCCACCTCCCGGGGTCAAGCAATTCTCTGCCTCAGCCTCCTGAGTAGCTGGGATTACAGGCGCCTGCTACCATGCCCAGCTAGTTTTTGTGTTGTTAGTGGAAATGGGATTTCACCATGTTGGCCAGGCTGGTCTCAAACATCTGATCTTAGGTGATCTGCCCACCTTGGCCTCCCAAAGCAGTGGGAGTACAGGCATGTAATCCCAGCTGTGCCCAGCTATTTTCTCTGTCCTTTATAAACATATATCCTTCCAGACCATGTTCTTTATATACGTTTACAGTTAGGTATGTATGAGTGTGTTTATGTGTATATATGTAAATTTTACCATATATGAGAGCATATAGATTATTAGGCAACATACAGTTTTCACTTAACAACGTGCCTTAAAAATTATTGTTCATTGGTTAAAACTGAGTGGTGTAGATGTGCGTATTTAACTCTGCCCACTGTTGATGGACATTTAAATTGTGTCCATGTTTCACTAAAAAAAATTGCTGCATTTGTGCTATGAAAAAAAACCCTATAGAGCACTCAAATGTCCATTAGAGGTATCATAGATAAATTGTGGTGCATTCTTTATTTTTTTATTTTTTTTTGAGACGGAGTCTTACTCTGTCGCCCAGGCTGGAGTGCAGTGGATGATCTTAGCTCACTGCAACCTCCACCCTCCGAGTTCAAGCGATTCCCCGGCCTCAGCCGCCCGAGTAGCTGGGATTACAGGCGCCTGCCACTGCGCCTGACTAATTTTTGTATTTTTAGTAGAGATGGGGTTTCACCATCTTGGCCAGGCTGTTCTTGAACTCCTGACCTTGTGATCCACCCGCCTCAGCCTCCCAAAGTGCTGGGATTACAGGCGTGAGCCACTGCGACCAGCCCTGTGGTATATTCTTAGAAAGGAATACTAAGCAGCAGTGACAAAGTGAACATACCATAGTTATGTGCATCAATGTGGCTTAATCATAGAAACAATAATATTTACTTTCGGAGGGCAAAGCGGAAAGATCATTTGAGGCCAGGAGTCAAGACCAGCCTGGACAATATAGCAAGACACTGTCTCTAAAATGTTTTTTAAAAATTAGCCAGTGTGGTGGCACACGGATATAATCCCAGCTACTCAGGATGTTGAGGGAGGAAGATAGCTTGAGCCCAGGAGTTCGAGGCTGCAGTGAGCTATGATTACACCACTACAGTCCATCCTGAGTGACAGAGCAAGACCCTGCCTCAAAAGAAAAAGAAAAACAGACTGGCGCACGGTGGCTCACGCCTGTAATCCCAGCACTTTGGGAGGCCATGGTGGGTGGATCACCTGAGGTCAGGAGTTCGAGACCAGCCTGGCCAACATGGTGAGACCCCGTCTCTACCAAAACTGCAAAATAGGCTGGGCGTGGCGGCTACTTGGGAGACTGAGGTAGGAGAATCTCTTGAACTGGGGAGGTGGAGGTTGTGGTGAGCTGAGATGGCACCACTGCACTCCAGCCTGGGCAATAGAATGAGACTCCATCACACACACAAAAAAAATGTGGCTGGGTGCAGTGGCTCATGCCTGTAATCCCAGCACTTTGGGAGGCCGTGGCAGGTGGATCACGAGGTCAGGAGATCGAGACCATCTTGGCCAACATGGTGAAACCCCGTCTCTACTAAAAATACAAAATTATCTGCACCTGGTGGTGCTCGCCTGTAATCCCAGCTACTTGGGAGACTGAGGCAGGAAATCACCTGAACCCAGGAGGCGGAAGTTGGAGTGAGCCGAGTTTGTGCCACTGCACTTCAGCCTAAGCGACAGAGTGAGACTGTCTCGGGGAAAAAAAAAACAAATACATATGTATGTTGTGCTTAAAGATCTGTCCATGAGGAAGCTAAAGGAACATAATGACTGGCACCATGAGGGTAGAGGTCATATCTGGTGTGGCTGTGATGGCAGAGAAACCTGGGAAGACTCAATATTAACATGTTAATATTTTGATATTTTAATAAGCCATGTTATATTTACTTTTTTTTTGAGACGGGGTCTCACTCTGTCACCCAGGCTGGACTGCAGTGTCACGATCGTGGCTCACTGCAACTTCCACCTCCCGGGTACAAGCAGTTCTATCTCAGCCTCCCGAGTAGCTGGGATTACAGGCGCACGCCACCTTGCGCAGCTAATTTTTGTATTTTTAGTACAGACAGGGTTTTATCATGTTGGCCAGGCTAATCTCGAACTCCCGACCTCAGGTGATCCGCCCGTCTCTGCCTCCCAAAGTGCTTGGATTACAGGCGTGAGACACTGCGCCTGACCAATTTACTTGAATTTTTGTTTCTTTTAAGAGAGAGGATGTTGGCCTGGCTCACGCCTATAATCCAAGCACTTTGGGAGACCGAGACAGACGGATCACCCGAGATTGAGAGTTCGAGACCAGCCTGACCAACGTGGAGAAACCCTGTCTCTACTAAACAAACAAACAAACAAACAAAAATACATAAAACTAGCCGGGCGTGGTGGCGCATGCCTGTAATCCCAGCTACTCGGGAGGCTGAGGCAGGAGAATCGCTTGAACCTGGGAGATGGAGGTTGTGGTGAGCCAACATCGCACCATTGCACTCCAGGCTGGGCAACAAGAGCAAAACTCCCATCTCAAAAGAAAAAGGAGACAGATTTTACTCTGTCATCCAGGCCGAATATAGTTGACATAATCATAATGCAGCTTTGAATTCATGGGCTCAATTGATGCTCCTGCCTCGCTCCCCCAAAGTGCTGGAATTATAGGCTTGTGCCACCTCACTGAGCTAATTTTATTCTTTATATTATATGCATTTGTTAACCTGTTTCACAATAAATAATACTGTGGTAACATCCTGATGAATATATTTTATGTACATTCTAGTTTCACAGCAGTAAAGATTCCTAGTGGTATATTGCCAGGTCAAAGGGGTGTGTGCATTCTAATTTAATAGAGCCTGTGTACTTGCCCTCCAAAACATTCTAGTCTTTAACTCTAGCCATCCTTAAAATTGTTAAATTCTTGGACCTGCCACCAGATAGAAGACTTTTAATATATAATGGCATTAAAAATTAATAAATGGGATTAGTGGGAAGATTTTGTTTCAGACAATTTGATAATAAAGAGGGAATATTAACGATCAGGTAAAAGGAGAGCCAGGCTATTATATTATAAGGTTAAGGACTTAATAAAAAGTTTTAGGCCGGATGCAATAGCTCAGCTTTAATCCCAGCATTCTGGGAGGCTGAGGCATGGGGATTACTTGAGTTCAGGAGTTCGAGACCAAACTGGGCAACATAGTGAGACTTTGTCTCTACTAAAAAACAAAAAATGAGGCTGGAGGAGGTCAAGACTGCAATAAGCTGTGATCATACCACTATACTCCCACCTGGGCAACAGAGTAAGACCGTGCCTCAAAAAAAAAAAGCCAGGCGCCGTGCCTCACATCTGTAATCCCAGCGGTTTGGGAGGCTGAGGTGGACAAATCACTTGAGGCCAGGAGTTTGAAACCAGCCAGGCCAACATGGCAAAACCCTGTCTCTACTAAAAAAAAAAAAAAAAAAAAAAAAAAAAAAAAAAAAATTACCTGGGCATGGTGGCAAACACCTGAAGCCCCAGCTACTTGGAAGGCTGAGGCAGGAGAATTGCTTGAACCCAGGAGGTTGAGATTGCAATGAGCCGAGATAGCTCCACTGTTCTCCAGCCTGGGCGACAAAGATTCCATCTCAAAAAAAAAAGTTTAAAATATTAAAAGCTATTTAAAGTTACATTTTTACTTTTAATCCTGAAGATGAAGGATTACCCAAAGTCACGGTTTTCACATTTGAGGTATTTTTGGCTTTTTAAAAAATTATGATGATTTTTTAGACGGAGTTTTGCTCTTGTTGCCCAGACTGGACTGCAATGGTGCAATCTCGGCTCACTGCAACCTCCACCTCCCAGGTTCAAGCGATTCTCCTGCCTCGGCCCCCTGAGTAGCTGGGATTACAGGCGCCCAGCACCACACCCAGCTAATTTTTTGTATTTTTAGTAGAGGCAGGGTTTCACCGTGTTGGCCAGGCTGGTCTTGAACTGACCTCAGGTGATCCACCTTCCTCGGCCTCCCAAAGTGCTGGGATTACAGGCGTGAGGCACCATGCCCGGCCATTTTTGGCTTTTTAACTGGCAGTCATTCAGACTGTGTGAATTAGTTTGAGTATGCAGGTGTTGGAAAGCAAAGATAAAAGAGTTCATATTGTGTGCTCCGTTTTAAGTTGGTAGACCTCTTCTCTTTTGGAGATTCCCATTACCAATAGCACCAACTAAGTAGGTGGATTCAATATAGATGTCTGTAGGTCTTCACCAGTTCAGGAAGGAAGTTACCAGATGGTTTGAAAATAATGATGCATGCCGGGCGTGGTGGCTAACGCCTGTAATGCCAGCACTTTGAGAGGCCTAGCCGGGCGGATCACCAGTCAGGAGTTCGAGACTAGCCTGATTAACATGGTGAAACCCCATCTCTACTAAAAATACAAAAGTAGCCAGGCTTGGTGGCACATGCCTGTAATCCCAGTTACTTGGGAGGCTGAGGTAGGAGAATCACTTGAACCTGGGAGGTAAAGGTTGCAATGAGCTAAGATCACGCCACTGTACTCCAGCCTGGGCAACAAGAGCGAAACTCCATCTCAGAAAAAAAAAAAATTATGATGCAGCCTGGGTGCAGTGGCTTACACCTATAATCCCAGCACATTGGGAGGCTGAGGCAGGCAGATTGCGTGAGTCCAGGAGTTTGAGACCAGCCTGGGCAACATGGTGAAACCCCATCTCTACTAAAAATACAAAAACTAGCTGAACACGGTGGCACCTGCCTGTAGTCCCAGCTACTTGGGAGGCTGAGGTGGGAGGATCCGTTGAGCCTAGGAGGTTGAGGCTGCAGTGAGCCGAGATCATGCCACTGCACTCCAGCCTGGGCGACAGAATGAGACCCTGTCTCTAAAAAATAATAATGCTAATAATGTTGCTCTTTTGAGCACCTTCCCCTGCAACTTGTTAAAGAATTCTTACATACTCAGGTTTGCTGTCTAGCTATTATAAGTAATTGAAGCAGTGGTATTCTGGAAGAGAAGATTAGAAAAGATGTTAAGGAGAAGGGGAAAGCAGAAACTTAAGGGTAATTTGATAGGCTAAAGTAAATTTTACTTATAGATGTATTTTAAGAAAGTTGATTATAAAGGATTTTTATTTTATTTATTTATTTTTTGAGATGGAGTCTCACTCTGTCACCCAGGCTGGAGTACAGTGGCGCAATCTCGGCTCACTGCAACCTCCGCCTCTCGGGTTCAAGCATATCTCCTGCCTCAGTTGGGACTACAGGCACATGCCACCATGCGTGGCTAATTTTTTGTATTTTTAGTAGAGACGGTTCTACTGTGTTAGCCAAGATGGTCTCGATCTCCTGACCTCGTGATCTTTTCACCTCCAAATGCCAAAGTGGTGGGATTACAGGCATGAGCCACTGTGCCCGGCCCTGAATTGTTTTTGGGTTATATAGACAGTAGGCTGACATGTTTGAAGAGTTTTAACAAGTAAGTAAAACAGGCAAGAGAGAAAGAACTAATAATCTTTTGCAGATATCTGCTATGGGGGAAAAGGTATATAGTGTTCTATAAGTATTGGTACTTTGGTTTAATTTTACATGTTTTTTTTACAGCAATTGGTGCTGAAAATTCAGAAAAAATAGATGAGAATTCAGATAAAGAGATGGAAGTAGAAGAATCTCCAGAGAAAATAAAAGTACAGACAACACCAAAAGTAGAAGAAGAACAGGATTTGAAAGTATGTATATTACTTAATGCAACTTGACAAATTTTTATTATTATTATCATTATTTTGAGACGGAGTCTTGCTCTGTCACCCAGGCTGGAGTGCAGTGGCACGATCTCAGCTCACTGCAACCTCTGCCTGCCTCCTGGGTTCAAGCCATTCTCCTGCTTCAGCCTCCCCAGTAGCTGGGATTACAGGCACGCACCTCAACTCCCAGCTAATTTTTGTATTTTTAGTAGAAACGGGGTTTCACCATGTTGGCCAGGCCGGTCTCGAACTCCTGGCGTTCATGATTCCCCCACCTTGGCCTCCCAAAGTGCTGGGATTACAGGCGTCAGCCACTGCGCCCGGCCCGCCAAATTTTTTTTTTTTTTCTTTTTTTTTCCCAAGAGAGAGTGTTGCTCTGCCATCCAGGCTGGAGTGCCGTGGCCCGATCTTGGCTCACTGCAACCTCTGCCTCCCACGTTCAAGCACTTCTCCTGCCTCAGCCTCCCAAGTAGCTGAGATTACAGGCACCCACCACTACGCCTGGCAAGTGTTTTTTTTTTGTGAGTCGGAGTCTCGCTCTGTTTCCCAGGCTGGAGTGCAGTGGCATGATCTCGGCTCACTGCAAGCTCCGCCTCCTGGGTTCACACCATTCTCCTGCCTCAGCCTCCCGAGTAGCTGGGACTACAGGTGCCCGCCACCACGCCTGGCTAATTTTTTTATTTTTAGTAGAGATGGGGTTTCACCGTGTTAACCAGGATGGTCTCGATCTCCTGACCTCGTGATACACCTGCCTCGGCCTCCCAAAGTGCTGGGATTACAGGCATGAGCCACCGCACCGGGCCCCATTTTTTTTTAATGCCATTTATTAAACTGCTTTCTGTTAACAAGTAGTAAAAATAATCTTTACTGTTTCCAAACCTAAATTGTTTACTTGGTTAGGTGAAAAGATCATATTTAAGTCTGAAATAATTAAGGCTGACTTGATACTGAGAAATTATCTAAAATTCTAACTGCTCAATTGCTTTCTTCAAATTAAGCCTCTTGTTTGAGAAGCAGTAGCTTATAGGCTTCTCTAGTTTGGGAGAAAAGTCACAGATTTAATTCCTGTGTGAAATACTTGTCTTTACACAAAGGCAAATTTAGTTTGAATTGCATTTCTAACCTAATCTCATGGGAGAGTTAGACCAAATAAGTATTAGCTATTTAAGGGTGGTCTGTTGGAAAAACCACTTAACATATTCTTTTGACTTGAAAGAGTATCCAGTTACTAGTTAGGGAACAACCAAGTAGAAGGGACTGGAATAATTAATTTTGTTTCAGGCTTCAGCAGGTGGCTAATATAAGCAATTAATGGATAAATGGCAATTTGACAATATTGGTATTTATATCATTCAGGATCTATTTTTTCCAGCTTTGTTGAGCTGTAGTTGACTATACATATATCTTGCATGTACTATGTCATAATTTGTTATATGTATATATTATGATATGATTATCACAAACCAGGTAAAGTAACTTACATATCACGTTACCTTGGAGAGTTGTCTTGTGTTTGTATGTGGGGATGATACATCAGATCTATACTCTTAACAAATTTCAGGTATTGTTAACTGTAGTCACCATGCTGTGCTTTAGATTTCCTTTTTTTTTGGGGGGGGGGGTGTTGGGGTGATGGAGTCTTGCTCTGTCACCAGGCTGGATTGCAGTGGCACAATCTTGGCTCACTGCAACCTCCACCTCCCAGGTTCAAGCAATTCTTCTGCCTCAGCCTCCCGAGTAGCTGGGACTACAGGTGTGCACCACCATCCTCACCTAATTTTTGTATTTTTAGTAGAGGTGGGGTTTCACGATGTTGGCGAGGATGGTCTCTATCTATTGACCTTGTGATCCACCTGCCTCAGCCTCCCAAAGTGCTGGGATTACAGGTGTGAGCCACCACACCCAGCCCCAAAATTTATTTTATAACTGAAAGTTTGTATTCTTTGACCAACATCTCCCCATATTCCCCTGTCTCCAGCCCCTAGCAACCACCATTCTAATTCTACTCTTTGAGTTTAGCTTTTCAATATTGGGATCCATTTGCAACTATTGAATTCCATGTTGTATTAGAATGCATTATGATGGGCTGGGCACAGTGGCTCACATCTGTAATCTCAGCACTTTGGGAGACTAAGGCAGGAGGCTGACTTGAGACCAGGAGTTCAGGAGCATCCTGGGCAATAGCAAGACCTTTGTCTGAAACAAAATAATTGTTTTGAATAATTTTTAAAATGCATTGTGATTATGTAGATATGCATTTGATTCCTGTCATTATTTGTCACTTTGTTATGTGTATTATGTTACTATAAATTAGAATTTTATATTCTGGATAACTAAATACAGCTGTTTGGGGAAGGCTGTTTATAGGCAGACCCATATTTCTAATATCTATAAGAATAAATGAAGGATTGTACATAATACAGAAAATGTTACGGATTCTAGTTTTACTTTTTTTCTTTTTTGCATTGTAGTTTCAGATTGGAGAACTGGCAAATACCCTGACAAGTAAATTCGAGTTTCTAGGCATTAATAGACAATCCATCTCCAACTTTCATGTGCTGCTCTTACAGACTGAGGTAAGTCTTTTTTTTTTTTTTTTTGGCATAAACAGTTAAGTGTTTGAATGAAATGCTGTATGTGTTAACGATTCTGTCTTGCTTACATTTTAAGCCTAAATTTAAATTTTTAACCTTGAAGAATATTTGAGCCGACAATCCAGGAAATAAAACTGTGTTAACCAAAGCACAGTAAATAGACTTTTTTCTCACAAATTAAAATTATATTATCATGGTCAGATGAGGCCATGTAATGTTGAAGGTACTTTGTAAGTGTTAAAGCATTATAAGTCTGTTTAAAGAGAAAAGTTGAGTCCTATTTGTAACCTGCATACTTTACAAAATGGCAGGGCAGGATTAGGTAAGGAGCTCCTGTAGGAAGCTGACTGATTTTCTTAAGAACTGAACCCTTGGCCAGGCACGGTGGCTCACACCTGTAATCCCAGCACTTTGGGAGGCCGGGGCAGGTAGATCACCAAGGTCAGGAGTTCGAGACCAGCCTGACCAACATGGTGAAACTCCATCTCTACTAAAAATACAAAATTAGCCGGGCGTGGTGGCACATGCCTGTAATCCCAGCTACTCGGGAAGCTGAGGCAGGAGAATCGCTTGAACCCAGGAGGTGAAGGTTGCGAGCAGAGATTGCTCCACTGTACTCTAGCCTGGGCAACAGAGCCAGAGTCCGAGTCCGTCTCTAAAAAAAAAAAAGAACTGAATCCTTAACTGTGATTACTAACAGTACTGGAATAAGTGAACTATCTCCCAAAAAAAGTAAAACTACTGGGGAAACCAATCTTAATAAGTCCAAAAGGGAAGACAAAACTACTACTACTCATTTTCACACATATTGGAGAGTTGGTAGTGTTAAAATATACTGGAGCCCAATTTCATTTTTCAGAACTCTGCTGCGTACTTGGGATGTTTTTTGAGACGGAGTTTCACTCTTGTCGCCCAGGCTGGAGTGCAATGGCATGATCTCGGCTCACCACAACCTCCGCCTCCCGGGTTCAGTTGATTCTCCTGCCTCAGCCTCTCGAGTAGCTGGGATTACAGGCGCCTGCCACCAAGCCCAGCTAATTTTTGTATTTTTAGTACAGACAGGGTCTCACCTTGTTGGCCAGGCTGGTCTTGAACTCCTGACCTCAGGTGATCCACCCGCCTCAGCCTCCCAAAGTGCTGGGATTACAGGCGTGAGCCACCATGCCCGGCCTTAAGATTATTTTATGAGATGAAGATGGGGTTTATTTTCCTCTCTGGTCTACTGTCCTGCCAGAGCACAGGGATATAGTCTTGGAGCAGAAGGTTTATATCCCCTTTGCCTGTGTCTCCTGACATGTAATAATAAGTCTTTAACTTATTTGTCTGTTTATTCTAGACTCGAATTGCAGACTGGCGGGAAGGGGCTCTTAATGGAAACTACCTTAAACGAAAACTTCAGGATGCAGCAGAACAACTAAAACAGTATGAAATAAACGCCACTCCTAAAGGCTGGTCCTGCCACTGGGACAGGTACGCACTCTTCTCCCCTTTTCACCTTTCACCTTTGACATCTCAGACATGATTTGTGATCACCACCATCTGACGACATGACAGCCTGTCTGGAGACTGAGAGCAGCTGCAGTTAGCGGTGCTGGGCAGGCAAAGCACCGCAAGCACAAAGTTTGGCCAGCCACACATTGGAGAAACAAAAGCAATGTTTAAAGTGTTCCATGTAACGGATTTTTTCCCAAGATATGGACAAAGCTGGTTTTTACTCTCCAGAGTGTTGCACGGAGTAGGGCGGGCTTGGGGGTTAAGCGCATGCGAGAGCTCTGTGCGCTTTACAGGACCTCTGGAAGCAACTACTCCTGATTAACCTCGGTGAAGTTAAGGAAAACTTCGTGGCTGAAGATGTGAATGAAGAACAAGATTACTATCCTCTGCCAGCAGGTCAGATGAAAACATTTCTTTATATATTTGGCTTTTCTTGATTTTTTTTTCGTTATTTGAAATCTTTGCTCTTTTATTTTTCAGCTCCCAGATCCTCTCCCTCTCTTTAGCTTTCACTGTGTTTGATATCAAGAATATGAAATGTGAATTCCACGGTCCAAGAGGGGAAGAGTCACCTTTCACAAACTTCGTTGTTCTCTTCTTTGGAAGGGAAATTAGTGTTCTAGGCGATTGAGTCCCTTCATTAATGAAACTTGAAACCCTGTTATGCATTGGCAAATCACAAAAAAAGAGAAAAGTGTTTTCTAAGTCTCATCTGTTGGAGTGAGAGGGTTCAGGGCTGTATTCACAGAGTTGCTGGCAGTGCAAATAGCTTTGAATTATCCTTGGTTCTCCATTCTCAATTGTCAAAGCTCTTTGTTGCCTTTGTGAATAGCAGTCCATTAAGAGGTTCGTCCCTGTGAAAGCAGACTGCTGTCCTGGGACAGGACCAAATGGAAGTGTCTTTGTAGGAGAACGGGTTTTAAAACATGTGTTTTCTTTCTTGTAATTTAGGGATCATAGACGGTATTTCTATGTAAACGAACAGTCGGGCGAGTCTCAGTGGGAGTTTCCAGATGGTGAAGAGGAAGAAGAAGAAAGCCAAGCACAAGAAAATAGAGATGAGACTCTTGCCAAACAGACCTTGAAAGACAAAACTGGCACTGATTCAAATTCAACAGAATCCTCTGAAACTTCCACAGGTGAGACAATTTACCTTGTACTAATTCAGCCAAAATGACTTTAGAGGAAAAATCTTATTAATTTACATTATTAAAAGATTTTATGTCATAATAATATAAGCTTCTGATTGAGAATAGTGGTGTGAACTAAAACAAGGAATGCATGAGTTATTATGGTTGGAAATCAGCATACTATTGTTATCACGTGTAAAACTGTGCCCCAAAGTGAAAAGATAGGCTAACAGATTTTGATTTTAAAAAATTGTTTTATAACCATTCTATCATGCCACTGACTAAGCTGTGGGTCTCCAAAAATAGGAATGCTTGTGCTGAGGAACTAGATAGTTGAACTGTCAATATATGTGGCATGCTGAGATTTGTTATACATTTCTATACAACACTTAGTCTGTTCATATTGCAACCTCATTTCTCACCTCCACTAATCTTACAAAAAGCGTGGTTGGTACAAATCAAAATGATATGAAGAAATGCCATTAGTACTTGTTTCAGAGAAGCAAAATAATTGATCATGAAAAATCACCAGCAATCTTCTGGTCTAAAACAATTGGCAATAGGATGTCTCATTCCATTTTTAAGGTACTCTTGGAAGAATTTAGTTTAGTTACATACATTTTTTAAAAGATAGGCTTTCATGCTCCTCAGTTCCTTTAGTTTTTAAAAAGTTTCCAATGTGTAAAGAAACTTCCACCTGTTAATCTTAAGAATTGGTAGCTATTTGTTAAACTGATGGCATATGAAGGCAAGAGTCTATGAGTCGTTTCTAAAGTAATAGATCTTTGAAAATTTTAAAAAGTGAAATTTGTCAATAACAGAGTTAAGAGCTGAATTCTTTTGTCTAAAACTTATCGAAATTGATGCTTGTACTCTACTGGCTCCCTGATGATAGTAGAAAAGCACTAGTAATGTACCAAATGAAACTGGTTGTGTACCAGATGATTTTGTTAACTTCTTAAATAGCCTAGAAATCGTCAGCAGGTCACATACAACTGCAGTGATAATTTCAGAACATAGCAAAAGGCTGATTTTATTCTACTTCACATTTTAGAAGTGCATTTTCTCAAGTTACAGGGCATTTCACTTCCCTTTTACATGAAGAGATTTTCTTTTGAATATTTTTCCTCTCTTTTGGTAGCAGTGATAGACATGACTAATAATATATTGGTTCTTTTTGTTTGCTTTTTAGCAGTTAATGAACTGAAGAGGCTTGATCGTAGTTCTGGATAGGTGGCTCCACTCCTGACCACTGTCAACATCCCTTATATGTTCCAAAGTTGAAAATTCCACTGTTACCAATTCTGAATGTTCTGTGAACACTTTAGATGAGTATTAAGCTGTTTTCTCCCTTTATGACACACATAGTTGATACTGTCTGGTAAAAGGAGGCTCTTGAGCCATTCCTATTTAATTAAAACAGAACTAGTTGTAGTGTAGGAAAAAGCCACTGATAAAACAGGTTATATTCTTAAGCCTCTCTTTATTGAGAACCCCTAGAATTGCAGGATAAACTTGATCGAAGTAAAATCCAAATCTTAAACTAAGTTCTGTGAGATTTAAGAGCAATAATCAACAGTTCTAAGCCTAATAAAGAGAGCTCTTAATCAGCTCAGTGGTGGTTAAAACCAGCTATCTTTTAAAGAAGAGAAAAAACAAAACACAGCAATGCCCTGTCTCTTCAGAAAATTGTTTTAAAAAGTTAGCCAGGCATAGTTAGTGGCCCACGCCTGTAGTCCGAGCTGTTTGGGAGGTTGAGGTGGGAAGATTGGTTGAGCCCAAGATTTTGAGGCTGCAGTAAGCCATAATTGTACCACTGCACTCCAGCCTGAGCGACAGAGAACAAGACCCTGTCTCAAAAATAAAGTGGGGGAAGGGGTGCAAAATTACACTGTGAGAAGCCAAGAAGTTTCAAAGTTCTATTTATTTTTCTAAGTCATTTTTAATCATTATTTGTTGTTTCAGTGTTTGAATTTAACATTATGTTTTTAAAGATGGAGTGGATTCTAAAGATGAGTTGGGTTCAAGATATCCAACATATCTTTTATATTGGGCTTATGTCACTTAGGTGAAGTTGAGCTCCTTTTTCTTTTTAATCTCCATGGAACAATTTGTATAATTTCTTGATTTAAATTGCTAAACTGAGCTCTTCATTCAAAATACTAAACAATAATTTCTCTTTGGGGGGAAAATTAAGGAAGGCTTTCTATACATAGAAATAAAGATGCCTAGGCCGGGTGCAGTGGCTCATGCCTGTAATCCCAATACTTTGGGGGGCTGAGGCGGGTGGATCACCTGAGGTCAAGAGTTCAAGACCAGCCTGGGCAACATGGTGAAACCCTGCCTCTACTAAAAGTACAAAAATTAGCTGGGCGTGGTGGCAGCTGCCTGTAATCCCAGCTACTCGGAGGCTGAGGCACGAGAATCACTTGAACCTGGGAGGCGAAGGTTGCAGTGAACCAAGATCATGCCATTGCACTCCAGCCTGGGCGACAGAGCAAAACTCTTTATCTAAAAAAAAAAAAAAAAAAAAAGACGCCTACAGAAGCAAGGTTCTTAGGTGCAGTGACTCATGCCTGTAATTCCAGCACTTTGGGAGTTTGAGGCAAGAGGATCACTTGAGCTCAGGAATTCAAAACCAGCCTGGGCAATATGGCAAGACCCCATCTTTGCAGAATATTAGCCTAGCTTGGTAGCACGAGTATGTGGTCCTAGCTACTTGGAAGGCTGAGGTGGGAAGGATCACTTGAGCCTGGTAGGTTGAAGCTGCAGTGAGCTATATTCACACCATTGCACTCTAGCTTGAACAACAAAGTGAGATCCTGTCTCAAAAAGAAAAAGGAAAAATTACAGCTCACGGCTGTAATCCCAGCACTTTGGGAGGCCAAGGCGCGCAGATCACTTGAGGTCAGGAGTTTGAGACCAGCCAACATGGTATCACCCTGTCTCTACTAAAAATACAAAAATTAGCCAGGTGTCGTGGCGGGTGCCTGTAATCCCAGCTACTCGGGAGGCTGAGGCAGGAGAATCGCTTGAACCCAGGAGGCAGAGATTACAGTGAACCAAGATGACACCTCTGCACTCCAGCCTGGGCAACAGGCTTAAAGACTCCGTCTTAAAAAAAAATTAAGAATTTGTATTCTCATAACATATTCAGTTTTAAGCTTGTAGCTTTTAAATCTTTGAGCACGTAATAAAAGCTGCGTAGGCCAAGTGTGGTGGCTCATGCTTGTAATCCCAGCACTTTGGGAGGCTGAGGCAGGAGGATCACCTGAGGTCGGGAGTTCAAGAGCAGCTTACCCAATATGTAGAAACCCCGCCTCTACTAAAAATACAAAATTAGCCAGGCGTGGTCGCATGCCTGTAATCCTAGCTACTCGGGAGGCTGAGGCAGGAGAATCATTGAACCCAGGAGGCGGAGGTTGTGGTGGGCCAATATCACACCATTGCACTCCAACCTGGGCAACAAGAGCAAGAGTCCATCTAAAAAAAGAGCTGTATATACCACTTTAATCTGTCCTTGGGCTTCAGACTTAAATATTCTCTTAAACAGCAAAAATACTAACTAAGTTAAATTTAAAAGCAAGGAGAAGCATCATTGTAATACGACATCCATGTGTATTCAAACTAGAATTTTCTGATGGTCTTCGTAAGATAAAGGAGATAATTGTCATTTCTATGACACAGCTTTTATAATTTGAATAAACTTAGTTGGAGATTGGAGTATTTTTATTATTTATTTTCATGTGAGATGGGTAATGTGCTGACCTCATAACAAAGTTTGAGGGAGACACATTGTATGTGAGAATTTGAAGTGCTTATGAAGTACAAAAGCAGAGGCCAGGTGCTCACATCTGTAATCCCAGCACTTTGGGAGGCCAAGGCACACAGATCACTTGAGGTCAGGAGTTTGAGACCAGCCTGGCCAACATGGCGAAAACCCCTCTCTTACTAAAAATACAAAAATTAGCTGGATGTGGTGGTGTGGGCCTGTAATCCCAGCTACTCGCGAGGCTGAGGCAGGAGAATCGCTTGAACCTGGCAGGCAGAGGTTGCGGTGAGCCAAGATTGCGTCACTGCACTCCGGCGTGGACAAGAGAGTGAGACTCCGTCACAAAAAAAAAAAAAAAAGAAGAAAAGTATTGGATTCACATATTCTAAAAATGCTCGTCATTTGTGGCTAATTTTATCAAGTCTAGTTTAATCTCATATTTACAGAGTTTAGTTAATTCTAATTAGCTTTGTTGGAGGTCATAAACCACATTATTAACCTTGAACCGACTCTGTGTTTACTTGAGTTCCTCTGCATAATAGCATGTCACCACCATCATAAACATGTTGGTATTGCATTATGCTTCTAGAGGAGACATCCACCAATATTTGAAAATCTGGCTGGTCCGAGTGCAGTGGTGTTTACAACTAATTAATCACAACCAGTTACAGACTTTGTTTCTTCTCCAGTCCTGCTGCTTCACTTGACTAGCCTTTTAAAAAAAAGAAAGAAAATAGAGAAAATCTTAACTTATATTTACTTACTGTATGTTGTGATTAGTTTAATAGAAGGGAGTTTAATCCTTAATAATTAAGTTAGTCCTCAACGTTTATTGACTTAGTTCTGATGTAGTCCTTGTGTACTATTGTATAATGTAGACTACTTGGCCATACTTGATTTTGTCTAAAAGTTAATGCATAAATTAATATTAAATATGGCCAAATATAAAAGTTTAATGAGTCATTTGAGGTCATTTAGCCAGAAAACTGCATTTATGTTCCTGGTGAATTTTTTTCAATGTCCTTTTCCAAAAGTGGCAGTAAGCAGCTGTCTTAAAATAAGGAGACAGTGGGAATGATGTTGTTAAAGTCTTTTATACAATGTATTGTCTGTCTGTTCCATAAAAAGTAAAACTACTCTATTCGTGACCAGCTTGGGCAACATAGTGAGACTGTCTCTTTAAAAAAAAAAAAAAAAAAAAAATTAAAAATTAGCAGGTGTGGTGATGCACACCTGTAGTCCTAGCAATTCGGGAAGCTGAGGTAGGAAGATCGCTTGAGCCAAGTGTTTGAGGTTAGAATGAGCTATGATCGCACCACCTACACTCCAGCCTGGGCAACAGAGCAAGACCCAAATGGCTCATGGTTGCTTTGTTTGTTTTACCTTGTTGAGTGCCAGTGTGTATTTTGAGCAAAGCAGTGTAAATGGCCTTCTTGCCCTAGAGTCTTTCATAATTGAGCCTTATTTAATCTACCACTTTTGACCATGAAATTTAACAGGTGACTTCTTCTGGGTATCTACTCCAGGTGAAGTGATATTTTTTTTGACTGAGATGTCTAAAGCTCTTGGATTCCTGGTATCTCACCAGGACATCTTAGTAAAACAGCAAGTATCAGATGAGGAATCAGACTTGAGTTCTAGCTCTGGTCTGGCCACTAACATTGATATGATCTTGGGCAAGTTAGTTCCTGCCTGGGTTTCATTACCTTTAACTGAGGAGGTTGAAATAGATGATTTCTCATGTCTCTTCTACTCCTAAATTCTATGATTTTAGGGAGAAAATCCCCTTCAACATTCCTGGGATATATATCTAATAGTCCCATATATTGTGAAACTTCCCTATTGACGATAAAGAGGGCTGGGGAAGGCTACAAGTAAGTATATCCTATTTTCTCTAATCTTTAAAGGTTTTCCCAGCAGAGAAAAGACAGTAATCAATGATGGCTTTTACAAAGTTTGAGGAAAGCTGATCCTGCAACTTTTCAGCTGCAATTTCGTAATGTAGACTTCAGCAACAGCAATTTCAAAACCACTGCAGTTTTAAAAAATCTGAGTTATATACTTTGAAGATTTATCTTCCTAAATTTCTCTTTTATCGCAAAAGTAAAAATTGCCATCCCTAACTTGTGTCTCTGTGATATCACAAATGAATGTAATGTATGCAAGGGTGTGAAGGAATGATATAGTTGACAGTAGCACCTTGCAAATGGATTTTTTAAATTTAGTAACCCAAATTAAACACAATGGGTAGAACTTTCCCGAGTATTTTGAATGAATATTCTGGGTTGTCTTTACTCACTTTGTCTAGCTCACTAAAAAATAAAGTATGTGTAATAATTACTGCAGGTGCACATTATTCACTCACTCCTTCACTTTTGAAATAGACTCCAGACTATTACCTTTTATTTGTGTATGTTGAAGCTTGTGAGTGTTTGAAATCAAAAACTTCAAACTACAGATTCAGATGACTGCATTTCTCGTTGAGTTGATGTAATATTCTTCTACTCATCCATAAATATGGACCCGAAGGACAAGTATAATACAGATGGGGAAGGTGCTATGAAGTTCATAAATTTATCTTTCCGTGGAAGTCATTTCTGAACTGAGTTGTTCAATATTTTAGCGATATCAGTATAGAATAGATGCCTGTGGGCCAAATTTTTTTCAAGGAAGGAGCCATTCCCTGCTGTTTGACACCACATTCTGTATTGTTTTGTACACTGTGCTAGGTTCCTATAAATGATTATCTTACTGACCAGTTGAACATTTCTATGAATATAAGCCAGGGAGTTTTTTTCTTGCTTTTTCCCTGACTCTTACCTGTTTTCATAGGTTCTCTTTGTAAAGAATCCTTTTCTGGTCAAGTTTCTTCTTCATCACTCATGCCACTTACTCCATTCTGGACCCTCCTTCAGTCAAATGTTCCTGTGCTTCAACCTCCATTACCCTTGGAAATGCCACCACCCCCACCTCCACCTCCAGAATCACCTCCACCCCCTCCTCCACCACCTCCTCCTGCGGAAGATGGTGAGATCCAGGAGGTAGAGATGGAGGATGAGGGAAGTGAGGAGCCCCCTGCCCCAGGAACAGAGGAAGATACCCCTTTGAAACCTTCAGCACAAACCACAGTTGTAACTAGCCAGGTAAGTAATTCCCTTTGGCATTCTGAGTGATTTTGAGGACTGGAACATGATTGACACCATGTTTTATTTTAGAAGCATATGTTTAAAGGCCGGGCACGGTGGCTCACGCCTATATCCTAGACCTTTGGGAGGTCGAAGCAGGAGGATTGCTTAAGCCCAGGAGGCTGCAATGAGTCATGATCTCACCACTGCAGCTTGTGCAACAGAATGAGAGCCTGTCTCAAAAAAAGGAGGTGGGAGCGGGCTATGTTTAACCATGGCCTTCAGCCACTGATAACAAATGTTTGTGTTTCAGAGTTCAGTTGATTCCACCATCTCTAGTTCTTCTTCCACTAAAGGAATAAAGAGGAAAGCTACAGAAATTAGCACTGCAGTGGTTCAGAGGTCAGCTACCATTGGCAGTTCTCCAGTTCTCTATAGCCAGTCAGCTATAGCTACAGGTAATTGTGCATAGAGCGTGGTTTTTCCTCAATGTATTGTTTCTTTTCTTTTCAGCATTAGATGCCATAAAAACTAAAGAAATGTTAAAGGCTCTTGATTGCAAAGACTGTCAGTATGCATTTATTTTACTTAAAAAAAAAAAAAAAACTTTTGACAGTTTAGCTGACCGTGCACAGTGGCTCACACCTATAATCCCAGCACTTCGGGAGGCTGAGGCAAGCGGATTGCTTGAGCTCAGGAGTTGGAGACCAGCCTGGGCAACACGGCAAAAGCCTGTCTACAAAAAAGACCAAAAATAGCCAGGCATGGTAGTCTGCACCTGTAGTCCCGGCTACTCAGGAGACTGAGGTGGGAGGATCACTTGAGCCCTGGAGGTTGAGGCTGCAGTGAGCTGTGATCACACTGCTATACTTCATCCAGTCTGGGCGACAGAGCAAAACTCTGTCTCAAAAACACAAAAAACGTTCAGCACATATGCTTCCAGATTGTCTTGTATATTTATGTACATTGATGATTTCGAT
Organism: Homo sapiens; assembly: GCF_000001405.40. Classification (NCBI taxonomy): domain Eukaryota; kingdom Metazoa; phylum Chordata; class Mammalia; order Primates; family Hominidae; genus Homo; species Homo sapiens. The sequence goes on along the minus strand of NW_019805496.1, from coordinate 155,872 downwards.
GTTTAGGTAGTTTAATGCCAAGGTATTCAAAATTAATATATTTTGCTACCAGCAAATATGGCTATGCTTTTTAGAAAAGGATATATTGGAATCATTTTCTATGTGATCTAATCCCCACTTCTCTTTTCATTGCATCTGTTCTTGTCATGATGTCCTTTTTATAGTATCATTTTATGTTTTCTGTGTTAGGTCACCAGGCAGCAGGGATTGGAAACCAGGCAACAGGAATTGGACATCAGACAATACCAGTTAGCCTTCCAGCAGCAGGAATGGGTCATCAGGCCAGAGGAATGAGCCTGCAGTCAAATTACCTTGGACTAGCGGCAGCACCTGCAATTATGAGTTATGCAGAATGTTCTGTCCCAATTGGAGTGACTGCTCCCTCATTGCAGCCAGTTCAGGCCCGAGGTGCTGTGCCTACCGCTACCATTATAGAACCACCACCACCACCTCCTCCTCCTCCTCCTCCACCACCACCAGCTCCCAAAATGCCACCACCTGAAAAGACAAAAAAAGGAAGGAAAGACAAGGTATAATAAATTTCCCTTTTTAAAAATTTATTTTTAAAAATTTTATTGAGGTTATATTCACATAACATGAAATTATCCATTTTCAGGCTGGGCACTGTGGCTTAAGCCTGTAATCCCAGCACTTTGGGAGGCCGAGGCGGGCAGATCACCTGAGGTCAGGAGTTCGAGACCAGCCTGCCCAACATGGTGAAACCCTGTCTCTACTAAAAATACAAAAATTAGCTGGGCCTGGTGGCACGCACCTGTAATCCCTGCTACTTGGGAGGCTGAGGCAGGAGAATCGCTTGAACCCAGGAGGCAGAGGTTGCAGTGAGCCAGGATCACAGCACTGCACTCCAGCCTGGGTGACAGAGCAAGACTCCATCTCAAAAAAAGAAAAAAGAAATTGAAATGTCCAGCTTACTTTCTCAGTGGGGGGACCTTATTTAAGAAATCTGTTTGTCTCAAGTGCTGGGAGGAGAATCAGCTTGGGCCCCCATACCTAGTCCTCACATGAGTACAGCACTCAGTCATGTCAACTCCTACTTGTTGAGCCAGCATCACCCAGACGGGTCTTCAAACATACAACTGCTTCTCTTAAAAAGCATAGGGATAAGCTATTAAAGAGGCTGAGGCGGGAGAGTCGCTTGAACCTGGGAGGCTGAGGTTGCAGTGAGCTGAGATCGCACCACTGCATTCCAGCCTGGGTGACAAAAGTGAAACTTTGTCTTAAAAAAAAAAAAGAAAAACGGGGATAAAAATTGGTCTTATCAATATCTAATATATTTGTCAGATACTCTCCCTAGGGGCTTAGGATTTAGCAGTACATCAAACAGACAAAAAAAAAAAAAACCCTCTGCTTTTGTAGAACCTTTCTTCTGGCAGGGGGTGGCTTGGGAGTAGATAAGGGAAAAATAAATCTATGAGAAATATTTTTTTTTCCTTTTTTTTTTTTTTTTTTTTTTTTTTTTTTTTTTTTTTTTTTTTTTGAGTCAGAGACATCCGCCACCACCCCCAGCTAATATGGCAGTTTGCTTTGTTGGTCTTTCCAGCTTTATTTTTTAGCTTTTTTTTTTTTTTTAATCATTTGATAGGAATGCTGCATCTATTTAAAATTTGAAAATGGGAACGCTGTAATTCTGAGGAGACGAGATAAAGGCAATATTTTGAATTGCATAGGGTAGGGAGGTTAAAGGAAATTTATATGACCTGATTTTATAAAATACCACATTTACAAATACCACCTTTTGAAACGGAGTCTCAAGAAAAGGGGCAAAAAATCTGTATGTTTATTATAGACGATTTAGACAATGAAGGTAAGCGAAAAGAAAAAATATTATATCATTATACCTTCTCTTAGAACTAACTGTATCATTGATTTTTTTTGGCAGGGGGAGGGGAGACAGAGTCTCTGTCACCCAGGCTGGTGTGCAGTGGCATGCTCTCAGCTCACTGCAACCTCTGCCTCCCAGTTCAAGCACTTCTCATGCCTCAGTCTCCTGAGTAGCTGGGGCGACAGGCATGTGCACCACCATGCCAGGCTAATTTTTGTATTTTTTATATTTTTAGTAGAGGTGGGTTTTTGTCATGTTGGCCAGGCTGGTCTCAAACTCCTGGCCTCAAGTGATCCACCCACCTTGGCCTCCCAAAGTGCTGAGATTACAGGTGTGACCCACCATGCCTCGCCCCATTGATGTTTTATTTTATTTATTTATTTATTTTTATTTATTTATTTATTTATTTTTGAGATGGAGTCTTGCTCTGTCGCCCAGGCTGAAGTGCAGAGTAGCTGGGACTACAGGCGCCCACCACCACGCCAGGCTTATGTTTTGTATTTTTAGTAGAGACGGGGTTTCACCGTGTTAGCTAGGATGGTCTCGATCACCTGACCTCGTGATCCTCCCGCCTCGGCCTCCCAAAGTGATTACAGGCATGAGCCATCGTGCCCAGCCGATATTTTTAAAAATCTGTTTGCTTTTTTTCATATTTAATTATGGCTATTTATTTATTTGAGACAGAGTCTCACTGTGTTGCCCAGGCTGCAGTGCAATGGTGCAATCTTGGCTCACTGCAAACTCTGACTCCCGGGTTGAAGCGATTCTCCTGCCTCAGCCTCCCAAGCAGCTGGGACTACAGTCGCCCACCGCCGCCGCCACCGCCCCCGGCTAATATGGCAGTTTGCTTTGTTGCTCTTTCCAGCTTTATTTTTTAGCTTTTTTTTTTTTTTTTTAAATCACTTGGGAGGAACACTGCATCTATTTAAAATTTGAAAACGGGAACACTGTAATTCTGAGACGCGATAAAGGCAATATTTTGAATTACATAGGATAGGGAGGTTAAAGGAAGTTTATATGACATAATTTTATAAAATACCGCATTTACAAAGCTTTATAGATTTTATTTATTTATTTATTTATTTATTTATTTTTTTGAGACGGAGTCTCCCTCTGTAGCCCAGGCTGGAGTGCAGTGGTGATCTCGGCTCACTGCAAGATCCGCCTCCCAGGTTCATGCCATTCTCCTATCTCAACCTTCCGAGTAGCTGAGACTACAGGCGCCCGCCACCACGTCTGGCTAATTTTTTGTATTTTTAGTAGAGACAGGGTTTCACCATGTTAGCCAGGATGGTCTCGATCTCCTGACCTTGTGATCCGCCCGCCTCAGCCTCCCAAAGTGCTGGGATTACAGGCTTGAGCCACCGCGCCTGGCCTGCTTTATAGATTTTTAACCAAGCCTTTTTGTTTATAATTGGTAAGAAATTTATGGCAAGAACTTAGAATGGTATTTACTTTCTTTTTTAAAGTGTGCATATTCTTTAGAACTGGGAAAAGGATCCTGACCTCCATTGTAGAGGACGCTTATCCTTATTTTATGTTTTCTATTCCTTTTGACCTTTAACCTTTGTTACAGGCAAAGAAGAGTAAGACCAAAATGCCATCTTTGGTAAAAAAGTGGCAGAGTATCCAGCGTGAGTTAGATGAAGAGGACAATTCTAGTTCCAGTGAAGAGGATCGGGAATCAACTGCACAGAAGCGAATTGAAGAGTGGAAACAGCAGCAGCTGGTTAGGTAAAAGAAAAGGAAACACAGATGAGATGGGGTTTTGGAGTAGGTTGAGACCTACTATGAGATGGAGTAGGTTGTGGTTGTTATAGATGCATTAGAATAGACATATTCTTAAAATCACAGCTTGTAAATTTATCTAAAGGTTTCTAATTTATAAACATGTTTAATTCCTTATAGAAATTATGGGCTAGCCTTTTTTCAAAATCAGAAACAACAGAGTTGTAATACTTTGTCCAGTTGATTGTTGGTCTTAGGCAAAGGCCTGTCTTAACTCTCAGTACATCATTTACTATCTAGATCCAGTGGACCCTTTTATACACACACACACACACACACACACACACACACACACACATACACACATAACATATTAACTTATTTTACAAATAATTTATAGAATTAGACCCTTTTATACACACACACATTATTGTACAAATGATTTACAGAATTAGAATAAAGTTTTTCCCCTGTCCCTATATTTCAGTCAAGCAGGGTAGAATACAGAGCTGCCTTCTCAATTGCACTTATTCTAGAACAGAAGTTAATGAGAGAGCACACCACACTAGGAACTAAATGAACCTCTTCTAGGTAAGAAAATCCTTCACTACCTTGCTTGACTAGAATAAAAGGATAGGGAGAACTGGCTTCAAGTAATTGCACCTCAGCCTCCCAGAGTGTTGGGAATACAAGTGTGAGCCACCACACTCAGGTCAGAAATATTTTTTATGATGAAAGCACATGTTGGGCTGGGCACGGTGGCTCACGCCTGTAATCCCAGCACTTTGGGAGGCCAAGGCGGGTGGATCACGAGGTCAGGAATTCGAGACCAGCCTGGCCAACATGGTGAAACCCCATCTCTACTAAAAATACAAAATTAGCTGGGCCTGGTGGCGAATGCCTGTAATCGCTGAGGCAGAAGAATTGTTTGAACCCGCGAGGCGGAGGTTGCAGTGAGCCAAGACCGTGCTATTGCACTCCAGCCTGGACGACAGAGCAAGACTCCATCTCAAAAAAAAAAAAAAAAAACATGTTGGGTGGGCACTGTGGCTCACACCTGTAGTCCTAGATGCTTGGGAGGCTGAGGCAAGAAGATGGCTTTCTCAAAAATTCTAGAAATTTTAAAGACTTTAGACACAGCAAGTACAATTTTTTATTTCATATTTTCCTTGTTTTGAAGGTATACATTCTGAAATGGGCAGCATTCTTTGACTGCAACTCACTGTTCATCAATTGTCAGTGTATAACCTAGAATATAGCTGTCTATTACTGATGCCAGATTTCAAATTAATCTCTGATAGGTTCTAGCTTAGTTTTTATTAAAGGTTCTAATGCATCCATTCTGTTAATTGCAAGATAGAATTTGAATTTTAATCCTTACAAATAAAACTACTTGAAAGAGAAACTCAAAAACATTAGATCCGGCCGGGCACAGGGGCTCACATCTGTAATCCCAGCACTTTGGGAAGCCGAGGTGGGTGGATCACGAGGTCAGGAGTTCGAGACCAGCCTGGCCAACATAGTGAAAACCTGTCTTTACTAAAAATATAAAAATTAGCTGGACATGGTGGCAGGCGCCTGTAGTCCAAGCCACTTGGGAGGCTGAGGCAGGAGAATCGCTTGGACCTAGGAGGCAGAGGTTGCAGTGAGCCGAGATTGTGCCACTGCACTCCAGTCTGGGCAACAGAGCAAGACTCCATCTCAAAAACAGAAAAAAAAACATTAGATCCCAGGGTCCCTGTTGGTAGACTGAGGATTAGATATATCTGCCCTGAAGAATCATAACTCCTGTGGGCTAAGAAAAACTCTAATAGAACGTGTTTCATTTCTTCAGTGTGCCTTTAATGGTTATTGGAGGTATATTTATATAAAATAAATAAGGCCGGGCACGGTGGCTCACACCTGTAATCCCAGCACTTTGGGAGGCCAAGGCAGTCAGATCACCTGAGGTTGGGAGTTCGAGACCAGCCTGACCAACATGGAGAAACCCTGTCGCTACTTAAAAAAAAAAAAAATTAGCCAGGCATGGTTGCACATGCCTGTAATCCCAGCTACTCTGAGGGGAGGCTGAGGCAGGAGAATCGCTTGAACCTGGGAGGCGGAGGTTGCGGTGAGCCGAGATCGCACCATTGCACTCCAGACTGGGCAACAAGAGCAAAATTCCGTCTCAATCAGTCAATAATAAATAAATAAATATGCACTTAGACATATACGTAAAACTGGGGTAGTGTTTGGTTGACCTATCAGAATGAAGAAGTTTGATGAAGAATATACTGATGTTTGGCTGAGAAACAAAAGATTTTCATAAACATAGACGTGATAGATCAGGTTTTTAATTTCAGTTAGATTTTTATTTGCTGGGAAATGAATACTTTTGTTAATTTTTCTTTCCACTAAAATAATCTGTATGTTGTTTTCACAGTGGCATGGCAGAGAGAAATGCTAATTTTGAAGCCCTTCCTGAGGATTGGAGAGCAAGGCTGAAGAGAAGGAAAATGGCTCCAAACACATAGTTTTTAAGTTTTTAAAACTTTTTTGTATTATTGTTTGTTTTGTGTTCAGTTCAAAGTCTTAACCAGTTTTATTGTCAAATAAACTATAAATGTTATGGGGGAGATCTTATAAATTTCCTGGGCAAGAGTGTATGCATACAAAGTTTTCACTTTTGTGAAATGTAATTTTTCTGTTTTTGCAAAGGGATGAGGTGATTGGAATTGCTTTGACCATGCTGCCTTTATTCTCAAACTGGCAAACTTAGCATGTTAGGTGTATTAACCTCATCAGTCTTGAAGAACATGTGGCTCATGAGTATAACACTTCTGTAGAGGACTCCCTGACAAAAGTGAAGAATTAACTTCTCCTCCAGAACAAGTGCAATTCAGAAGGCAGCTCTGCATTCTACCTTGCTTGACTGGAATTGTCTGAAGCTTTTTCTGGCCTCTTTTCTCTAGTCGGCCACCCCTGAAGTGCTGAGGTCTAAGTGGTTTACCTCGTGCTGATAGATGGCCACACTCTTTAGAGTAGTTCTCATAAGTTCTAGAACTGGTAGCTCGGTCGTTTCGCACACTAGGTGGCATACAGGCAGCAGCAGGTGTTCATATCCTTGATTTTGAGAATTTCCCCTCAAGTATGTGGCAGTAAATACAACAAGACACTCTATGTATTAATGTCTCCATTGTCTTAACCCTGTTCCAAAACAAAATTCACCTCCTTTCTTTATGTGAATGTATTCTCCATAAAATTCCAGTATTTAAAAAGCAGTTTACTGTTCTGTACTTTCTGTTGTATCACAATCAGGTAAAAGTCACTTTAAACTGAGGAAACGGCAAATTGTGTTTTAAAGCTCTTTGTATTTCTCCAGTTTCTGACCTTGTAAATTTGTATATATGCACTAATAAAGCTTTTTTTATAATCCTGATGGGTTATCCTTTTGCTCGTCAACTCCTGTTATTCTGATTATGTAACCAGGACTTGTTTTTTTTTCTAAGCATATACAATGCAAGGTGCAAACATTTAACAACAGCTTTCAAGAAAATGAGCAGGAGATCTTTAATGGGGAGTGGTGGGGCCAGTTTAGACAAACAGGCTTCTAGTCCCAGATGGTGCTGTGTGATCAAAGTTTTGGGGTCTAATATTATCTATAATATCTAGATTGGTTAATAGCCATATTAGATAATATTTTACCTACTTAATTCCTGGCAATGATGTAATATGGTTAACATTTCAGAAAAAAAGGTGCTTTATAGCTTTTTTCCCCCCACTGATAAAAGTAACAGATACGGTTATATTCATATATAGTTAACCAAAGACACGTGTTTGAATTTTATTGTAGTATATTTATTTTTTTGTTGTTGGTTTTTTGTTTTTTTTTTTTCTGGAGACAGAATTTCGCTCTTGTTGCTCAGGCTGGAGTGCAATGGCACGATCTCGGCTCACCGCAACCTCCGCCTCCCAGGTTCAAGTGATTCTCCTGCCTCAGCCTCCCGAGTAGCTGGGATTACAGGCATGCGCCACCACACCCAGCTAATTTTGTATTTTTAGTAGAGATGGGGTTTTTCCATGTTGGTCAGGCTAGTCTCCAACTCTCGACCTCCCAAAGTTCTGGGATTACAGGCGAGAGCCACCGCGCCTGGCCTGGAGTAAATTTCTATGCATATAATTGATTTTTTTAAACCTAATCAAAATGTGTGATTTGAATTTGTTAGCTCTGTTTCTTAAGATTTGCAGTGTAGAAGGTAATTTTTCCTTTCTAGCTGTGCAGTGGAGAGAATGTTAAGGTGAAAGGAGAGAAGCAGCAGCTCTCTTAGAGCAAATTATGCATAACAGTTATCTAAAGCCAACAGCAAACCAGCTTGGAAGTATGTTGAAGGCTACTGGCATCGTACTCATCAATGCGGTTTCGATTCCGAGGCTGGGGCTGTGATGTATGAGGGGAAGAAAGCCGCTGCCCGCCATACATGTTGCAGACCTTCCCGGGGTCCCCGCTCCCTCCTTGGGGGCGAGGCCTAGCTCCCCGGAAGCGCCCGACCGCCCCGCCCTTTCTCCGCTTCCTGCTTTCGGTTGCTAGACTACCCGGGCCCTCACAGAAGGCGGTGGCGGGCGGGTGCAGCGAGTTTGTCCCCTTGCCCGCACACTGCTTGGCCTCTGTACTTAAGTGCGGTGGCCGCCTGCCTCGCTGGAGCTTCTCTGCCGCAGCCATCCGTGCTGCTTGGGACGGGCCGGGGCGCGAAGGCGGTCGCATCCATCGCTCTGCCCTCCTGGGAAGTTTCTGCTCTCCTTCCCCGCTCCTACCCTTAGGAAACCCCCTCACCACCTGCCCCAGACCAGGTTCCTCTGAACCCTAAATTCAATCTTTAGGGCCCACTTTCCCAACCCCCTGACCTTTTTCCATCGGCACCTACCGAGACGACTTCGTCGCGTGCTCCCATACCCATTTCTTTCACTTTCCTGTGGCGAGCATCTCCTTTCTCAGGGAAAGGGAAGCATGGGGCCAGCACCTTGGGAAGAAGAAGCGGGAAGATACGCTGCCCTCCCTGTCTCAGATGCACCTCTGGCCTCGGCGTGACCACCTTGTTTAGCTGAGGAGAAGCTGGGTTGGCAGGGTTTTCTGAAGTCAAGAGGGAGCTGGGGGGCGCCCGGGGAGGTATTGGCAGTTTTTTCACTTGTCCTCTTGTGGCTTTGTAGCTTCTCTTGTGTAATCAGCTGCCTATTTGGAAATTGGGCAGGGTTTGCGACTGGATGCTAATGTCACTGACTAGTTTTCAGCCTACCATCCAGAAGTAACATGTTCCCAGCTTTGGAAACGCACCTAAAGCAGGTCGGTACACAACACGGAAAGCCACAGAAATTTCTTCGGGGAACTCCATTTCTTCGGGAACTCCACAGAAATCTGCTACTAGATGAGAAGGGATGTTCTGGTGGCATCTTTTCTCAGCTGGAGATCTTGATCCCCACGATAGAATAATTCGCATGGAATGCAGCTCGCTTGGTTTAGTCTAGTCCTATGCAACAACGCTCATGTACTTTTTGTTGAGTCTATTATGGTTTGAAAACATTATCTTGATTGAAGTGGCCTTTCCTTTCACAGACTATTCCTGATCCTTATGAAGACTTTATGTACCGTCACCTCCAATATTATGGCTACTTTAAAGGTAATACCATGTTCTTATCTAGTATCACCTTTCCTGGACTCAAGAGGAAAATTGCTTCGTTAGCTGGGAGGGTTGCACTTGGGTAGACTAATAAATAATTTGCATTGACAAATAAATACTTTTTCCTCTACCATTAGTGAAAAGTACTTCCTTTCCCCATTGATCTGCGGGTCACCTCTGTCAAGTAGACAGCATCACTTAATACAAAGGTCTGTTTCTGGGCTCTCTATTCCATTGGTCTGTTTGGCTATCCTTTACCAGTATCACTGTCTCTTAATTACTATATGGCATTAAAATAGTCTTTATCTGGAAAGACATGTCTTCCCACCTTGTTCTTCAGAAGTGTCACGGCTGTTCTTGAGTCTTTGCCTTACTATATAAATTTTACAATTGGCGGCCGGGCACGGTGGCTCACACCTGTAATCACAGCACTTTGGGAGGCCGAGACGGGTGGAGCACGAGGTCAGGAGATCGAGACCATCCTGGCTAACACGGTGAAACCCCGTCTCTACTAAAAATACAAAAAAATTAGCCGGGCGTGGTGGTGGGTGCCTGTAGTCCCAGCTACTGGGAAGGCTGAGGCAGGAGAATGGCGTGAACCTGGGAGGCGGAGCTTGCAGTGAGCCGAGATCAAGCCACTGCACTCCAGCCTGGGCGACAGAGTGAGACTCTGTCTCAAAAAAAATAAATAAATAAAAATTTAAAAAAATAAATTTTGCAATTGGCTTATGACATTTTATTTTATTTTTTATTTATTTTGAGATGAAGTCTCACCCTGTCGCCCAGGCTGGAGTGCAGTGGCACGATCTCGGCTCACTGCAACCTCTGCCTCCCAGGTTCAAGAGATTCTCCTGCCTCAGCCTCCTGAGTAGCTGGGATTACAGGCACGAGCCACCACGCCTGGGTAATTTTTGTTTCTTTCTTTTTTTTTTTTTTTTTGCGATAGAGTCTCACTCTTTTCACCCAGGCTGAAATGCAATGGCGCAATCTCGGCTCACTGCGACCTCCACCTCCTGGGTTCAAGAGATTCTCCTGCCTCAGCCTCCCAAGTAGCTGGGATTACAGGCGCCCACCACCACTCCCAGCTAATTTTTTTGTGTATTTGTAGTAGAGACGGGGTTTCAACATGTTGGCCAGGCTGGTCTTGAACTCCTGACCTCAGGTGATCCACCTGCCTAGGCCTCCCAAAGTGGTGGGATTACAGACGTGAGCTTACCGCGCCCAGTGTTTTTTTTATTCTTGAGACGGAGTTATGCTCTTGTTGCCCAGGCTGGAGTGCAGTGGTGCAATCTAGGCTTGCTGCAACTTCCACCTCGCGGGGTCAAGCGATTTTCCTGCCTCAGCCTCCCAAGTACCCAGGTAGCTGGGATTACAGGCGTGTACCACCATGCCTGGCTAATTTTGTATTTTTAGTAGAAACGGTTTCACCATGTTGGCCAGGCTGGTCTCGAACTGACCTCAGGTGATCCACCCACCTCAGCCTCCCAAAATGCCAAGATTACAGGCATGAGCCACCACGCTCGGCCTAATTTTGGTATTTTTAGTAGACACAGGGTTTCCTCATGTTGGCCAGGCTGTTCTCGAACTCCTGACCTAAGGTGATCCACCCACCTTGGCCTCCCAAAGTGCTGGGATTACAGGCGTGAGCCACTGTCCCCAGCCCGCTTATGACATTTTAAAAGATTATAGGAATTGCATTAAATCTGTAGATCAAATTTCACAAGAACTGGCAATTTTTCAACACTGGGTTCTCCAATCTATGACTATAATATTTATCTCCATTTACTTAGGTCTTTAATGTCTCCCAATAAAGATTTATAGTTTTTCATAATACTTCATATTTTTATGCTATTATAAATATTGATCTTCTTAAAATTTAATTTCCTAACTTTGTTACTGGTATATTGAAATAAGATGGAGTAATATTCATTGTATTAGTATTAATTTTATTTCTATCAAAGAATGTTGTTAAACTTTTTTATTAACTACATTAGTCCCCCCTTATCTACAGGGGGGAGGTTCCAAGGCCCCTGGATGGCCTGAAACCACTGATAGTACTAAATCCAAATCACTGTCATTCAGAACAGACTTCTATCTTCCACCCACAAATTTAATGCCTTTTCCACCATAACTAAGTACTTATGTACTGTGGCCATTACTTTTGCAATATGAAGTATGACAGCAAAACTATTATGATATTTATTTATTTATTTTTTAGACGGTCTGTTTTTTGCCTTGGCCGGAGTGCAATGTTGCAATCACAGCTCATTGCAGCCTTGACTTCCCAGGCTTAAGCGATCCTCCTACCTCCCAACTAGAAGGGAACACAAGCACATGCCAGCACACCCAGCTAATTTAAAAATTTTTTTTGTAGAGACATGGTCTTACTATGTTGCTCAGGCTGGTCATCATACAATTTTTTACTTTCCATACAAAGTCAAGAACTTCAGGCCGGGCGTGGTGGCTCACGCCTGTAATCCCAGCACTTTGGGAGGCCAAGGTGGGCAGATCACCTGAGGTCAGGAGTTCGAGACCAGCCTGGCCAACATGGCAAAACCCTACCTCTACTAAAAATACAAAAAATTAGCTGGGCATGGTGTTGCACGCCTGTAATCCCAGCTACTCGGAAGGCGGAGGCAGGAGAAATGCTTGAACCCGGGAGGCAGAGGTTGCAGTGAGCTGAGATTGCGCTACTGCACTCCAGATTGTTGAAGTTTCAATACCCTCTTCATGGGGAGAGAGACATTCAGGGAGGGGTTGTGTAGGCAATTGTGAAAGGTAGTAAATGATATTCAGGAGAAACGAATGAGCTCCAAAAACCATGTCCTGGGACAAAGTTCCTCTGAGCTCCGGGGAGGGGTGGCAAGCAAGTGAGGGGAGGAGCTTCACTGAAGAAAGGTTGTCTTATGCAAATAGTTGCCCAGGTAATCTCTGAGTTGCCCTCAGAATTGATGAAAAGTCTATCTGGGTGTCGTGACAATTTTTAGTCTCCTCTTCGGTGGTTCATCTTTAGTGGTTATTTGATGAGATTCCTAGGGAAGGGGTCTTAAAATAACTGCTTTTCTTTTGGAAAGAAGTTTCCTTAGAAGGAATTCCAGAGAGGAGTCCCTTCCTGCTCTTGGGGTAGTGGGGAGACAGGAGAGGTCAGAAAGTCCTTGATTCTGAGGCAGCTTCTGCAAGCCTTTTCTATTTTTTTTTTAATTTATTTTTTCAACTTTTATTATAGATTAGAGGGTACATGTGCAGGTTTGTTACATGGGTAAACTGCATGTTATTGAGGGTTGGAACCCTTTCTATGTTGAATTCAAAGTGTTCAGTATGCCAAAGTGCCAAACCTTTGGGCCATAATTTTTTTTTTCTTTTTTTTTTTTTTTGAGACAGGATCTCGCTCTGTCACTCAGGCTGGAGGGCAGTGGCCTCCACATCCCAGGCTCAAGCAACCCTCCCAGCCTTTGGCTATCATTTTCTGAGTTCCAACACAGCCCTTGTAGCTTCAGAATCTTTCTGCCTGCCAAGTCCTTTCTCACTCCACTACACCAGGCTGCTTCTCAAGTCTCCTCTTCACATCCATTTCCTCAGCTGTAAGGTGGGGATAATTATGCTTCACTCACATAAGTTGGAATATGAAAGCTCTTTGAAAAATGCAGTGTATTCATTGCAAAGGGCTGTGGTGGTGGGTGGTGATAAAAGGAGTAGTGGTTTGGTATTGACCTAGATGTTAGAAGTGATGAGTCGGCCTTCCAGCAACTTTAATTAAACTGCCAATTTTTAGCTCAGAGAGGCAGTTTACCAAACTCTGCTACGCATCAGCATGTTCGGAAGAATAACCCTCAATGCCTGTTGAATGGCTCTCTTGGGGAAAAAGATGATTTGATACCAGACACCCTGCAAAAGGAGAAGCTTCTATGTGAGTAACAATCAGTATGTGTGACCTCTAGAACCTCATTGCCTAGTAACTCCTCTGAGTATTCAGAAGAATCTGCTCTAACATGGGAGAGGCCAGGGAGCAGCCTTGGCCTCTGTTTCTAACACCATTCAAAACTTCTCTCTAAATCTACTTTGGATTACAGGTTTAAATCAAAATACTGTATTTTCTAGCCGGGCATGGTGATCACGCCTGTAATCTCAGCACTTTGGGAGGCTGAGGTGGGAGGATCACTTGAGGTTAGGAGTTTGAGACCAGTCTGACCAGCATGGCAAAACCCCAGCTCTACTAAAAATATAAAAATTAGCCGGGTGTGGTGACACACACTGGTAATCTCAGGACTTGGGAGGCTGAGGTGGGAGGATCACTTGAACCCAGGAGGCGGAGGTTGCAATGAGCCGAGGTTGGGCCACTGTACTCCAGCCTGGGTGACAAAGTGAGATTCTGTTTCAAAAAAAAAAAGAGTAATACACCTGGCATCGTGGCTCACGCCTGTAATCCCAGCACTTTGGATTGCTGAGGCAGGCAGATCACTTGAGCTCAGGAGCTCGAGACCAGCCTGGGCAACACGGCAAAACTCTGTCTCTACAGAAACATACAAAAATTAGCTGGGCATGGTGGCAGGTGCCTGTGGTCCCAGCTACTGGGGAGGCTGAGGCAGGAGGATTGTGTGAACCTGGGAGGCGGAAGTTGCGGTGAGCTGAGATTGCGCCACTGCATTCCAGCCTGGGCAACAGAGTGAGACCCTGTCTCAAAAAAAAAAAAAAAAGTAATACATTGATTTTTACAGTTTGATGGATAATGCTTACTAAGGCTCTTTGCATAGGAGCAGTGGAAAACAGTTCTAGCTAGCTTACACAAAAAAATAATTTTTTGCAGAGACACAGGTTTCTTCTAAAATCCAAGGGGAGGAATCCAGTTGAACTTCTCCCTCAAACCAAACACTGATCCACCCCTCTTTTCTCTACAACCCCCCCTGCTTATCCCCAACCTCCACCGCTACCCTTACACCCCCACCCTCAGAGTCCTACCACCTCCCATCCAAGCTGTCATCATTCAGCCTCCTAATTGGTCTCCTGGCTCCTCTTGTTCTGTGCTGCCCCGCCCCCTCCAATCAATTTTCCACATAGCAGTGTTTTTTATATGCAAATCTGATTAGGTCCCTTTTTTACTTAAAACCTTTGAATGACACAAGATCTGAAAACCGTAAAATACAATATTGTTTTGTTTTGTTTTGAGACGGAGTCTCGCTCTTGTCGCCCAGGCTGGAGTACAGTAGCACTATCTCAGCTCACTGCAACCTCTGCCTCCCGGGTTCAAGCTATTCTCCTGCTGCAGCCTCCTGAGTATCTGGGATTACAGGCGCCCGCCACCACTCCTGGCTAATTTTTGTACTTTTAGTAGAGACAGTGTCTCGCCATGTTAGCCAGGCTGGTCTCAAACTCCCAACCTCAGGTGATCGGCCCACCTCAGCCTCCCAAAGTGCTGGGATTACAGGTGCGAGCCAACACACCCAGCCAATATTGATAATTTTTTTTTTTTTTTTGAGACAGAGTCTTGCTCTGTCAAAAGGCTAGAGTGCAGTGGCTCCATCTCGGCTCACTACAACCTCCGCCTCCTGGCTTCAAGTGATTCTCCTGCCTCAGCCTCCCGAGTAGCTGGGACTACAGGCACGCGCCACCATGCCCAGCTAATTTTTGTATTTTTAGTAGAGACGGGGTTTCACCATGTTGACCAGGATGGTCTTGATCTCTTGACCTCGCGACCCGCCTGCCTTGGCCTCCCAAAGTGCTGGGATTACAGGCATGAGCCACTGTGCCCAGCTGATAATTTTTAAAGGAAAAATTTAAACTTCTCTTTGGAAAAAATACCATTGATAAAGTAAAGGACAAACTAAAAAAAAAAAAATTTGCAACAAATATGCCAAAGGGTTCATTTCCTTTACATATAACAGCTCTTTCAAATCAGTAAGTGTTAATAAAAGATGATTGGGCTGGGCACAGTGGCTCATGCCTGTAATCCCAGCACTTTAGGAGGCCAAGGTAGGCGGATCACCTGAGGTCAGGAGTTCGAAGCCAGCCTGGCCAATTTGGTGAAACCCCGTCTCTACTAAAAATAGAAAAATTATCCCAACGTGATGGTGCCCACCTGTAATCCCAGCTACTCAGGAGGCTGAGGCAGGAGAGTCGCTTGAAATTGGGAGGCAGAGGTTGCAGTGAGAGGAAATTGCACCACTGCACTCCAGCCTGGGTGACAGAGCGAGACTCCATCTCAAAAAAAAAAAAGATGACTAAATCTGAACATGGTGGCAAATGGCTGTAGTCTCAGCCACTTGGGAGCCTGAGGCAGGAGGATCATTTGAGCCCCAGAATTGCCCAGGATTTTGAGTCCAGCCTGGGCAACATAGAGAGACCCTTTCTCTAAATAAACACAAACAAAAAAGATGACCAAATAGAAAAATGAGTAAAAGACATGAACAAGTAGTTCATGGAAAAACATAGTCAATAAGCATATGAAAAGATTCTCCACTACTAACTGAAAATGCAAATCAAAATAGCAAGTTACCATTTTTTTAAATTATGAGATTTGGGCAAAATTTTAAAGAAACTTATACGTAGTGTAGGTTAGGGTATGGAGGAACACACTTTCCTATACTGCTGTTGCCAATGTGAGTAAGTAGACTTTTAGGAAGGCAATTTGGCAATAGCTGGTGATATTGTTTGGCTGCGTCCCCACCCAAATCTCATCTTAAATTCCCACGTGTTGTGGGAGGGACCTGGTGGGAGGTAATTGAATCATGGGGGCAGGTTTTTTCCATGCTGTCCTTGTGATAGTGAATAAGTCTCACGAGATCAGATAGTTCTATAAGGGGGAGTTTCCCTGCACAAGCTCTCTCTTGGCCTGGTGCCATTTATTTAAGACATGACTTGCTCCTCCTTGCCTTCTGCCATGATTGTGAGGCCTCCCCAGCCACGTGGAAGTGTAAGTCCATTAAACCTCTTTCTTTTGTAAATTGCCCAGTCTCAGGTATGTCTTTTTCAGCAGTGTGAAAATGGACTAACACAGCTGGGAAAATTAAAACAGTAATTTACCCTTGATGTAGTATTTCCCTTTTCAGGTATGTATCTTATACGTTTGCTTACACCAGCCCAAAAGTTTCCTATATTCTGTGTGCTAAAGCTCCTGGCAGGGAGTAGAAAGGCACGATCTCTGCTCACTGCAACCTCCACCTGCCGGGTTAAAGCAATTCTCCTGCCTCAGCCTCCCTAGTAGCTAGGATTACAGGCACGTGCCACCATGCCTGGCTAAATTTTTTTTTTTTTTTTTTTTTTTTAGTAGAGACAGGGTTTCACCATATTGGCCAGGCTGGTCTTGAACTCCTGACCTCAAGTGATCCGCCTGCCTTGGCCTCCCAAAGTGCTGGGATTACAGGCCCGGCTAATTCTTTTTTTTTTTTTTTTTTTTTTGGAATAGTAGAGACAGGGTTTCACCATGTTGGCCAGGCTGGTCTCGAACTCCTGACCTCAAATGATCCGCCTGCCTTGGCCTCCCAAAGTGCTGGGATTACAGGTGTGAGCCACCACACCCAGCAACCCTGTCTTAAAAAAACAAAAGAGAAAGCCTTTTCATATGAGCACCACAAACAAAACAAAAAACACATTCTTTTGAGGCTGGACTCAAATTCCTGGGCTCAAGTGACCACAACCCAACCCCTACCCTGCAGCCTCTGGACTAGGTGGGACTATAGGCACACGCCACCTCTCCTGCCTTTACCCCATTCTTTATAAGGGCACCTGTCATATTCCACAATTATTTATTTTTATTTTTATTTATTTTTTTTTTGAGACGGAGTCTTGCTCTGTGCCCCAGGCTGGAGTGCAGTGGCGCAATCTAGGCTCACCGCAAGCTCCGCCTCCCGGGTTCACGGCATTCTCCTGCCTCAGCCTCTCGAGTAGCTGGAGCTACAGGCGCCTGCCACCACGCCGGGCTAATCTTTTGTATTTTTAGTAGAGACAGGATTTCACCATGTTAGCCAGGATGGTCTCGATCTCCTGACCTCGTGATCCGCCCACCTCAGCCTCCCAAAGTGCTGGGATTACAGGCATGAGCCACCGCGCCCAGCCGGCCAGGCTGGTCTTGAACTCCCAACCTCAGGTAATCCGCCCGCCTTGGCCTCCCAAAGTGCTAGGATTACATGTGTGAGCTACCGTGCCCAAACTGCTTTATATTTCTTTAGTTATGAGTGACATTGTGCAGCTTTACTATCTTTTCAAATGTTTATTTCCTTTTATTTCCCCCATTAAAGTATGGGAGAAAGATTTAGATAGAAATGCAGGGGTCCAGAGTGAGCATAGGAAATGAGAAGGGATGGGGATAGCAGACAGAAGAAAAGAAGACAACGATCCCTGACACCAAGGGTGCCTCCTCTTCCTCTTTCTAGGGCCTATCAGTTTATCTTCAGCTGTGCACAGACAGATAGAAGCCATCAACAGAGGTATTTCATGTCCTTCCAGACCAGAAGATTCAAGCTCCTTTTTTGGACTATGTCTTCATCACCTGCTGTTCCCACCAGACCTAAGAATTACCAGACAGGAATGGGATTCATGCCTGATGAGCACTGAAGGACCCTCAGCCTTTAGTTCCCCCTTTCATTTCCATTTTTTTCTTTTTTCCTCATTCCCTTTCTTCTTTTTCTTTTTCTTTTTTTTTTTTTTTTGACACAGACTTTCACTCTTGCCTGGGCTGGATGCAGTGGCGCGGCCTCAGCTCACTGCAACCTCCACCTCCCAGATTCAAGGATTCTCCTGCCTCAGCTTTCCGAGTAGCTGGGATTACAGGCATGTGCCACCACGCCCAGCTAATTTTTATGTTTTTAGTAGAGACAGGATTTCACCACGTTGGCCAGGCTGGTCTCGAACTCCTGAACTCAGATGATCAGCCCGCCTCAGCCTCCCAAAGTTCTGGGATTACAGGCTTGAGCCACCACGCCTGGCCCCTCCTTTCTTTTTTATCTTCCTGAAAGCCTTTCTTTTCTTCCCTTTTTTCTCATTCTTTCTTTCCCAAGAGCTCTTCCTCTCTTCTGCCCCATCTCATGCCTTCTCTCCCCTTCCTCTTTCCATCTTCTTTGTTTTATGTCTGTCTTTCCTTTGTATGGTTATATTATGGCCCTGAAATTTTATTTATAGATTATTTCACTATAGTTGATAAAAAAGAAGAAAAAAAGAATAAAGTTTTATGTAATTTTTTCTAAAATGCTAATGGATATATTGAAATTTCCTCTCTTGCCACTAGCTAAACAAAAATAATAAAACATATTAAGTAACTTCTTATTCATTGTAACCCACTGTTGAAATGTCTTGGACCATTAAATTTAATTTTTAAAAGGTTTTTAATTTACCCTAAAGCTTTATATTTAAACATTTAATAGACTGTGCAGAATTTTAACGTTTTATAATTTTGAACCTGTTATTCTGGACTAAATCTTCTTGAAGGAGAAACATGTCAGAGAATCACATATCTGTGCTAATATTTTAATATAATGCTTAAAATAGTTTCATTGTTATAGATGAGCAGTAAAGTTCCCAAGGAGGAAAAGGAAGATGTTCACTTACTCTCTTTCCCTTTGGCAGATTCACATATGCTGAGTTTACCACATCTTAGGAGCAGACAGCTTCTTTATGATGAGTTGGATGAAGTAAACCCACGTCTTCGAGAACCCCAAGAGCTCTTTTCCATTTTGTCTACCAAGAGGCCACTGCAGGCTCCAAGATGGCCAATTGAATGTGAGGTCATCAAGGAAAACATCCATCATATTGGTAATATGACTTACTCACAGTGGTCTTGCTATTCTGCCTGACTTTTTTTTTTTTTTTTTTGAGACGAAGTCTCACTCTATTTCCCAGGCTGGAGTGCAATGGCGCAATCTCAGCTCACTGCAACCTCTGTCTCCCAGGTTCAAGGGATTCTCCTCCCTCAGCCTCCTACTGAGTAGCTGGGATTACAGGCGCACACCACCACGCCCAGCTAATTTTGCATTTTTAAGTAGAGACGGGGTTTCATCATGTGGGCAAAGCTAGTCTCGAACTCCTGACCTCGTGATCCGCCCACCTTGGCCTCCCAAAGTGCTGGGATTACAGGCATAAGCCACCAAGCCCGGCCTTCTGCCTGACTTTATTACAAGATCTGAGAATGTTAAGTCCTACGTGCTTAAGTATAAGGCAGGACAGAGTCAACATTTATTTATTTATTTATTTACTGAGACAGAGTCTCACTCTGTCACTCAGGCTGGAGTGCAGTGGCGCAATCTCGACTCATGGCAACCCCCACCTCCCAGGTTCAAGTGATTCTCCTGCCTAAGCCCCCCAAGTAGCTGGGATTACAGATGCCTGGCCACCACGCCTGGCTAGTTTTTTTTTTGTTTTTTTTTTTTTTTGAGACTGACTTTCGCTCTTGTTGCCCAGGCTGGAGTGCAATGGCATGAGCTCGGCTCACTGCAACCTCCGCCTCGCAGGTTCAAATGATTCTCCTGCCTCAGCCCCCTGAGTAGCTGGGATTACAGGCATGTGCCACCACACCCGGCTAATTTTGTATTTTTAGTAGAAACGGGGTTTCTCCATGTTGGTCAGTCTGGTCTCGAACTCCCCAACCTCAGGTGATCCACCCGCCTCGGCCTCCCAAAGTGCTGGGATTACAGATGTGAGCCACCACACCCGGCTAGTTTTTTATTTTTATTAGAGTCAGCGTTCCTCCATGTTGGCCAGGCTGGTCTCAAACTCCTGATGCTAAGTGATCCACCCGCCTTGGCCTCCCAAAGTGCTGGGATTACAGGCATAAGCCAGTGCACTCAGCCTAGAGTCAACATTTATTAACTCACCCTGGAAAAAATTAAACTGTGAGAAACTGATATAAACTCACCAAAATCAAGTTACACTAATGTGTAAACTAGAATGCTTCTGAGTTTTTCAGAATGAGAGGATACCTTCCTAGAAGCCAAAATATATAAATACTGAAATCTGTTTTCTAGATTAACCTGTTTCAGTGGTTTTTTTCTTTTCTTTTTCATTTTTTGGAGAGAGGGCATAGCATCTTATCTAAAAATACAGGGGTGCTACCCTGTCTCAGTATTAATGTGTTTGGTTGTGTGGTATTTTTACCAGTCTTGGTATAATTGAAGACTACATATACCACGACATAGTTTTTACAGTTTTTAATTAAATATAAAATTAATTTAATTTTATATTTTGAGTTTATTGGAGTTTTCTTGTCGGAATGGTGGAGACTTTTTTATGACATTATGGGTCATACCTGTGAGCTCTTGGAGCAAGTACAATCTTCTGCATCCATTTTATGGATTAAGCATTTATGGAATTGGGTTGCATTAGAAAGTGGGGACTTCTCTAATTACCAGAACAAGTCTAGCAAACATCACGTATGTCTCTGCTTTATACTACTGAATAAACAACTGGATGTTCCTTTTTTTTTTCTGAGACGGAGTCTTGCTCTATCACCCAGGCTAGAGTGCAATGGCTCCATCTCGGCTCACTGCAACCTCCGCCTCCCGGGTTCAAGCGATTCTCCTGCCTCAGCCTCTGGAGTAGCTGGGATTACAGGCACCCACCACCGCACCCAGCTAATTTTTGTATTTTTAGTACAGACGGGGTTTCACCATCTTGGTCAGGCTGGTCTCGAACTCCTGACCTCATGATCCACCCGCCTCGGCCTCCCAAAGTGCTGGGATTACAGCCATGAGCCACCGCACCCAGCTGGATGTTCCTCATTTTCTGTCTCCCTGCTTTATAATATTCGTTCATATGTGTTGTTATATGCTAAGTACAGTGCTTGGTGCTAGAGATAGTAGTGATGAGCAAAGTGGAGAGTTCATGGACCCAGAGTTCATGAACTAGTGGGGAAGTTAAACATTTTAACAGACAATTGCATAGTGCTTGGTCCCTCTGAGCATACCTAACCCAGCTTAGAGATCAGCATAAGTTTTCAAAAGGAGTTGACAACTAAGCTGAGATCTAAAGGATGAGTTCGAAATGATCCAATTAAGAGGGTCAAAGAAAAGTATTTCAGTTGGAAGAAACAGAAAAAGAGCATGGCATGCTTGGGCAACCATAGAACATTGAGCATTAAAAACAAGAGAAGAGTCTGAAAATATAGGGAAAAAATAAAAGTAGAGTTTATTTGACTTTATATTTTATTTTTGAGACAGGGTCTTGTTCTGTCACTCAGGCTGGAGTGCAGTGGTGCAATCATAGCTCACTGCAGCCTTGAACTCCTGGGCACAAGCCATCCTCCCCTCTCAGCCTCCTGAGTAGCTAGGACTATAGGCGTGCACCACCATGCCTGGCTAATTTTTTTTCTTTTTTTTTTTTTTTTTTTGAGAACAGAGTCTCGCTCTGTCGCCCAGGCTGGAGTGCAGTGGCATGATCTTGGCTCACTGCAACCTCCGCCTCCCAGGTTCAAGTGCTTCTCTGCCACAGCCTCCCAAGTAGCTGGGATTACAGGCACGTGCCACCACACTCTGCTCATTTTTTATATTTTTGGTAGAGACGGGGTTTCACCATGTAGGCCAGGCTGGTCTCGAACTCATGACCTCAAGTGATCTGCCTGCCTCAGCCTCCCAAAGTGCTGGGATTACAGGTGTAAGCCACTGTGCCCGGCCACCTGGCTCATTTTTAAATAGTTTTTTTGTAGAGACACATGGTCTCACTATGTTGCCCAGGCTACTCCCAAACTCCTGGCCTCAAATGATCCTCCTGGCCTCCTAAAGTGCTGAGATTACAGGTGTGAGCCACCACCCCCAGCAAGGACACTGGAATTTAATAACCAAGTTAATGCTGTGGTAATTCACTAAACTACAAGATCTTTTTTTTTTTTTTTTTTGAGACGGAGTCTTGCTCTGTCGCCCAGTCTGGAGTGCAATGGCACAATCTCGGCTCACTGCAACCTCCGCCTCCCAGGTTCAAGCAATCTCCCTCCTCAGCCTCCTGAGTAGCTGGGATTACAGGTGTGCACCACCACGCCTGGCTAATTTTTTACTTTTTTTAGTAGAGACGGGGTTTCACCATGTTGGTCAGGCTGGTCTCGAACTCCTGACCTCATGATCCGCCCGCTTCGGCCTCCCAAAGTGCTGGGATTACAGGCGTGAGCCACTCACTGCGCCCAGCCAACTACATGATCTTTTATAAAGCAATTTTTAAAAAAATGTTTCAAAGAAACTTATTAACAAACACCTTATTGTTTAAACTAAATTGTATTAATAAGCACCTTATTGGTTGTTTGTTTGTTTTTTTTTTTGAGACAGAGTCTCACTCTGTCGCCCAGGCTGGAGTGCGGTGGCACCGCGTCAGCTCACTGCAGCCTCTGTCTCCTGGGTTCAAGCAATTCTGCCTCAGCCTCCTGAGTAGCTGGGATTACAGGTGCCCACTGTAACTCGGCTAATTTTTGTATTTTTTAATAGAGACGGGGTTTCACCGTGTTGGCCAGGCTGGTCTCGATCTCCTGACCTCATGATTCACTCTCCTTGGCCTCCCAAAGTGCTGGGATTACAGGCATGCAAGCACCTTATTGTTTAAACTAAATTGTGAAAGCCTCATCACTTCCTATAATCTTCGAGAAAATAAATTCATGTAATATTTGACTGAGGTGTATCTTTATATGCTCTTGGAATTCATCAGTGGCTACTCTTCTAAAAATGATATTGAAAAGTTCAAGTTCCGTAAAGGAAATGTTTGTTTGTTTGTTTGTTGGTTTGTTTGTTTTAAATTTATTTTGAGACAGAGTCTTGCTCTGTTCGCCCAGGCTGGCACGCAGTGGCGTGATCTCGGTTCACTGCAACCTCCGCCTCCCAGGTTAGAGCGATTCTCCTACCTCAGCCTCCCGAGTAGCTGGGACTACAGGCACATGCCACAATACCCGGCTAATTTTTGTATTTTTAGTAGAGGCAGAGTTTCACTATGTTGGCCAGGCTGGTCTCGAACTCCCGACCTCAGGTAATCTACCCACCTTGTCCTCCCAAAGTGCTGGGATTACAGGCATAAGCCGCTGCACCCAGCCAAAGAAATCTTTTTAAATTCAGTGTTAATGAAAAAGCCTTCGCTAGGCACAGTGGCTCACACCTGTAATCCCAGCAGTTTGGGAGGCAGAGGAGGGCGGATCACCTGAGGTCGAGAGTTTGAGACCAGCCTGACCAACATGGAGAAACCCTGTCTCTACTAAAAATACAAAATTAGCCGGGAGTGGTGGCACATGTCTGTAATCCCAGCTACTCAGGAGGCTGAGGCGAGAGAATCGCTTGAACCCGGGAGGCGGAGGTTGCGGTGAGCCGAGATTGCACCATTGCACTCTAGCCTGAGCAATAGAGCAAGACTCCATCTCAAAAAAAAAGAAAGAAAAGAAAAAGGCTTGCTTCCTCTGAAACAATTGATAGACCTAGTCCTCTATGGTAATAAAAAAAATTATGTTAATGACCATATTTTGCTCACTTTAAGGAAACTCAGGGCCAAATTTTGAAGAGCTGTTGCAGCAGCTATATTGACCTTTCTGACTTATTCTTAGGTCTTCTATGGATAGTTTATATTTCATTTTATATGCTCTTTGTTAAAAGTGTCCTCATAAGTCTTTATAGAAAGAAACAAGACATAATTATTTTATAAACAAGCAGGAAATTTAGGGTGGGAATTTGGTTTGATTCAACCAAACTAGCCATTTGAAAAATTATTATTATTATTTTATATTAGTTCTGATAGTGCCGTTTACATTATTTCTTATTTTGTACTTTTTAAAATGTCTTCTTTCAGAGTGGGCTCCACCTCAACCAGAATATTTCTATCAGCCTAAAGGAAATGAAAAGGTACCAGAGATTGTAGGAGAGAAAAAAGGAACAGTTGTCTATCAATTAGATTCAGGTATTGTCATTACACTGAACAATGAATGGTTAATCATGACAAAGTTATAATAAACATATGTTCCATAATAAAAGTGATTTTAAAAATCCATAGTTTAGTGGTAAACTCTTTTCCAGGCCAACATGAGTGGGAGCCTGGAGGAGGAGTCATAACCAGTCTGCTGCAAAATTTCGATAATTTTCTAAAATCAAAGTACATTATTTTTAATAGTTCTAAGTCCATTTTACAGCTTCTCTCTTGTTATTCTCCTTCCTGAAAATCAGATGTTGGATCATCTTTGGGGAGATTTCTTTTCTCCACCTGTTATACGTACTTTAGTGAGTACTTTGTTCTATGTGCATATGACTGTCATTTAGTAATGCAGTTTCCTGTGTTGAGTTTTAAGCTTCTAAGGATTGAATATATATCTTTTATAGAAATATGCAGAACACCATACCTAACAACAACAAAATACTCATTCTTTTTTTTTTTTTTTTTTTGCCATTCCTACTGAAGTCATACACATTCTTTTTAAGGGTACCTGTTAGATTCCCCAGGATAAACCATATGTTAGGCCGTAATGGAAGTTTTTATACATGTAAAAGGATTAAAATAATACAAAGTACATTCTCTGACCATAATAAAATTAAGTTAGAAATCAACAACAGAATGAAATATGAGATATCCATAAATATGTGGAAATTGAATAACATCTTTCTAAATAAACTGTGGGTTAAAGAAATCACAAGTAGACTTCAAAAATATTTTGAATGTAGTGAAAATAAAACCATAACATATCAAAAGTTATAGGATGCAAAACAAAATGAACCAGTGCCAGGGATATTTATGGGTATTTATGGCTTTAAGTGCCTGAATTTCAAAACGAAAAAGGCTTCTTATCAATTACCTAAGCTTCTACCTTAGTAAACTGGAAAAATAAGAGCCAACTAAACCCAAAGCAAGCAGCAGGAAAGTAGTAATAAAAATAAGAATGTGGCTGGGCGCTGTGGCTCACGCCTATAATCCCAGCACTTTGGGAGGCCGAGGCAGGCAGACCACCTGAGGTTGGGAGTTCCAGACCAGCCTGACCAACATGGAGAAACCCTATCTCTACTGAAAATACAAAATTAGCCAGGTGTGGTAGTGCATGCCTGCAATCCCAGCTACTTGGGAGGCTAAGGCAGGAGAGTCTCTTGAACCTGGGAAGCAGAGGTTGTGGTGAGCCAAGATCGTGCCATGCACTCCAGCCTGGGCAACAAGAGTGAAACTCCGTCTCAAAAAAAAAAAAAAAAAAAAAATTATGTAGACTGGGCTTGGTGGCTCATACCTGTAATGCCAGCACTTTGGGAGGCCAAGATGGGCAGATCACCTGAGGTCGGCAGTTCGAGACCAGCCTGCCCAACATGGTGAAACTCTGTCTCTACTAAAACACAGTAAATTAGCCAGTCATGGTGGCAGGCGCCTGTAAACCCAGCTACTCAGGAGGCTGAGGCAGGAGAATCGTTTAAACCTTGGGAGTTGGAGGTTGCTGTGAGCCAAGATGGCGCCACTGCACTCCAGCCTCGGCAACAAGGGTGAAACTCCGTCTCATTAAAAAAAAATAAAAAATAAAATAAAAAAAGGCCGGGCGCGATGACTCACGCCTGTAATCCCAGCACTTTGGGA
Source organism: Homo sapiens (assembly GCF_000001405.40). Taxonomy (NCBI): domain Eukaryota; kingdom Metazoa; phylum Chordata; class Mammalia; order Primates; family Hominidae; genus Homo; species Homo sapiens. Next base: position 130,168 of record NW_019805496.1, on the reverse strand, counting down.
GTCTGAGGCGGGCGGACGACGAGGTCAGGAAATTGAGACCATCCTGGCTAACACGGAAAAACTCCGTGTCTACTAAAAATACAAAAAAAATAGCCGGGCGTGGTGGCACACGCCTGTAGTCCCAGCTACTCGGGAGGCTGAGGCAGGAGAATGGCGTGAACCCGGGAGGCACAGCTTGCAGTGAGCCAAGATTGCGCCACTGCACTCTAGCCTGGGCGACAGAGCAAGACTCCGTCTCAAAAAAAAAAAAAAAAAAAAAAAGTAGGCTTGGCGAGGTGGCTCACGCCTGTAATCCCAGCACTTTGGAAGGCCAAGGTGGGCGGATCATAAGGTCAGGAGATCGAGACCATCGTGGCTAACATGGTGAAACCCCATCTCTACTAAAAATACAAAAAATTAGCCGGGCATGATGGCATGCGCCTGTAGTTACAGCTATTCAGGAGGCTGAGGCAGGAGAATCCCTTGAACCTTGGGAGGTGGAGGTTGCAGTGAGCCAAGATTGTGCCACTGCACTCCAGCCTGGGCGACAGACCGAGACTCCATCTCAAAAAATCATCATCATCATCATTAAGAGGCTGGATGTGGTGCCTCATACCTGTAATCCTAGCACTTTGGGAGGCTGAGGTGGGTGGATCACTTGAGATCAGGAGTGTGAGACCAGCTTGACCAACATGGTGAAACCCTGTTTCTACTAAAAATACAAAAATTAGTTGGGTGTGGTGGCATGCCCCTGTAATCCCAGCTACTTGGGGGGCTGAGGCAGGGGAATTGCATGAACCCAGGAGGCAGAGGTTGCAGTGAGCCAAGATTGTGCCACTATACTCAGCCTGGGTGACAGAGCGAGACTCTATCTCAAAAATCAATAAATAAATAAAAAATAAAAAAGGAAAGCATTGAATAGAAGACAGAAAACTGATGGAGAAAAACAAACCAAAAGTTGGTTGTTTGGAACATCAACAAAATTGAAACACATTTGCTAACCCAAGAAAGGAAAAGAGGCACAAATTATCAAAATCAGAAATGAAAAAGGTAACATAAGGACCAAACCTGTACAAATCAAAAAAATTACAAGGTAATACTATTAACAACTTTATGACAACAAATTAGACAATTTAGATCAACAGGACGAATTGCTAGAAAGTTACAAAAACTGACTCAAGGAAGAAATAAAAGGTTTAAATACATTATAACAAAGAAATAATAATTAGAAATCTTTCCACAAAGAAAACCCAGGCCCACCTGGGGCCTGGTAGTTCAGGCCTCTAATCCCAGCACTTTAGGAGGCCAAGGCAGGTGGATCAGCTGAGGTCTTGAGTTTGAGACCAGCCTGGCCTACGTGAAACCCTGTCTCTCTACTAAAAACACAAAGAAAGTAGCCTGGTATGGTGGTGCGCACCTGTAGTCCCAGCTACTTGGGAGGCTGAGGCAGGAGAATTGCTTGAACCAGGGAGGTGGAGGTTGCAGTGAGGCAAGATCACACCACTGCACTCCAGCCTGGGCAACACAGCAAGACTCTGTCTCAAAAAACAAAAAACAAACAAACAAACAAACAAAACCCAGGCTCAAATGACCTACTTCACAAGGTTTGTTTGAAATCTTTTTTTTTTTTTTTTTTTGAGACAGAGTCTCACTTACTCTGTCACCCAGGCTGGAGTGCATGGCACTGCAACCTCCACTTTCTAGGTTCAAGCGATTTGTTCCTCAGCCTCCAGGGTAGCTGGGATTACAGGTGTGCGCCACCACGCCCAGCTAATTTTTTTTTTTCTTTTTTTTTTTTTTTTTTTTTTTTTTGTATTTTTAGTACAGACGGAGTTTCACCATATTGGCCAGGCTGGTCTCAAACTTCTGGCCTCAAGTGATCCACCTGCCTCCGCCTCCCACAGTGCTGAGATTACAGGCGTGACCCACCACACCTGGCTGGTTTGTTTGAATTCTGTTAAACATTTAAAGATGAAATAATACCAATATTTCACCAACTCTGAAAACAGAAGAGGAAAAAATGTTTCCCAACTATTTTTTTTAATTTTTAGACAGGATCTTCCTCTGTCGCCCAGGCTGGAGTGCAGTGGGATGAACATGGCTCATTGTATCCTCCACCTTATAGGCTCAAGTGAATTGTCCAACCTTAGCCTCCTGAGTAGCTGGGGCTACAGGCATGTACCACCCTGCCCAGCTAATTTTTTGTATTATTAGTGGAGACAGGGTTTCACCGCTGCCCAGGCTGGTCTCAAACTCCTGTGCTCAAGCAATCTACCCACTTCAACCTCCCAAAGTGCTAGGATTACAGGTCCCATTCCCCTCAACTGTTTTTTTTTTTTTTTTTTTTGAGACAGAGTTTCACTTTCGTCGCCCAGGCTGGAGTGCAGTGGTGTGATTTCGGCTCACCGCAATCTCTGCCTCCCAGGTTCAAGCGATTCTCCTGCCTCAGCCTCCCAAGTAGCTAGAATTATAGTTGCCTACCATCACACCTGACTAATTTTTGCATTTTTAGTAGAGACAGGGTTTCACTATTTCAGCCAGGCTGGTCTCTAACTCCTGACCTCAGGTGATCCACCCACCTCAGCCTCCCAAAGTGCTGGGATTACAGGCGTGAGCCACCATGCCCAGCCTTTGTTGTGGCGTTTTTGTTTTTGTTTTGTTTGTTTGTTTTTTGAGACGGAGTCTCGGTCTGTTGCCCAGTCTGGAGTGCAGTGGCGCAATCTCGGCTCACTGCAACCTCTGCCTCCCGGGTTCAAGCAATTCTCCTGCCTCAGCCTCCTGAGTAGCTGGAATTACAGGCACCCGCCATCACACCTGGCTAATTTTTTATCTTTTTGGTAGACACTGGGTTTCACCATGTTGGCCAGGCTGGTCTTGAACTCCTGACCTCAAGTGATCCACCCGCCTCAGCCTCCCAAAGTGCTGGGATTACAGGCATGAGCCACCACGCCTGGCCTGTTGTGCCATTTTTGTTTGCCCACTTACTATTCCCCATTCCCCTGCCTAGCAGAGGTCATGAGGATAGCAGCCCGCCATCCTGATGTGGAATGCTGGTGTTGGAAGTGGAAGAGGGGAGGAGGACAATGTAGACCTTATTCTCAAACTGGTCGTGACTCTTTTTTACCTTTCTCACAATTCCTTGAGGAGCCAGAGGAAAGACTGACTTTTGTTACTGCCTCCCTCAGGCTAAAGCAGTTTTTCCAGGTGCCATCTGCATCTATCAAATTTTAAAGTGTATTTAAAGACATACACTGCTCATAGCTACCTGGGGCAAGGGATAGCAAATAGGCAAGGAGCAGATAGGCCCAAAAGCCTGGGAAAGAAGCTGAGGAGAAAGATTCTTGGGGAAATGAGCACTTGGAAGGGCCTCCACATATACTGGAGAACGCAGTATACATGGCTAGGGCTGGACCCACATTCAGAAAAAACCTGAGAGGATCCTAGGCTTGCATCTCTGGTTGGTGGTTGGGCTCTGTGCAACTAAAGAGGAAGGCTAACATCGAGTTTTTGGCAGCCTGACTTAGTGTTGAGGAGTGCCTCACCTCAAAGCCAGTCTGCCCAGACTAGGAAAGTTTTGTGCTTTTTTTTTTTTTGGCTTGGGAGTGAGTGAATGAATGAATGAATGAATGATAGGATCTCACTTTGTCACCCAAGCTGGAGTGCAGTGGAAAAATCACAAATCACTGCAGCCTCGACCTCTCAGCTGAAGCAATCCTGCCGCCTCAGCATCCCGAGTAGCTGGGACTACAGGTGCACACCACCACCCAGCTAACTTTTGTATTTTTTGTACAGAGTATATCACACGACATTTTGCCATGTTGCCCAGGCTGGTCTCAAACTTCTGAGCCCAAGCAATCCTCTCACTTCAGCCTCCCAAAGTGCTGGGATTACAGGCATGAGCCACTACACCTAGCCAAGCCCTGGTTATTGAAGAAATCTCTGTCTGGTCACTGGCTGACCACTGATATAATGGAACGGAGAAGACACCTGGTGACCTACACATGACAAGAATAACATATTCAGTGGGGAAAGACTGAAAACTTTCCCTCTAGAATCTGGAAACTTCAAAGGGCTTTTATGCAGAACGAAAAGATGTTCCTCAAATTTATATGGAATTGTAAAGGGCCCTGAATAGCCAATACAAAAAAAGAAGTACAAAATTCGAAGATTCACATTTCTTGATTTCAAAACACTACGAACATACAGTAATCAAAACAGTATAATCCTAACACAGGGTAGGCATATAGGTCACTAAAACAGAACTGAGAGTCCAAAAATAAACTCATATTTTTGGTCAATTCATTTTTGACAAGGGTGCCAAGACTGTTCAGTGGAGAAAGAATGGCCTCTATAACAAATGGTGTTGGGATAACTGTATAGCCACACTCAAAAGAATGAAGTTGAATCCCTACTTCATACCATATTTAAAAATTAACCCAAAATGGATCAGTGGCCTAAAGATAAGTACTGAAACTATAAAAATCTTAAAACAAATGAGCCGGGCAGGGTGGTGCACGCCTGTAGTCCAGGCTACTCAGGAGGCTGAGGCAGGAGGTTCACTTGAACTCAGATGTTTGAGGCTGCCATGAGATATGATTGTGCAACTGCTCCAGCCTGGGTGACAGAGCAAGACCCTGTCAAAAAAAGGAAGGAAGGAAGGGAGGGAGGGAGGCAGGGAGGGAAGAAAGAAAGAAACAGGTATCTGCAGGATGCAATGGCTCATGTCTGTAAACTCAGCACTTTGGGAGGCTGAAGAAGGAGGATCGCTTGGGCCCTGGAGTTCAAGAATAGCCTGGGTGACATAGTGGGACCTCATCTCTACAAAAAAATTAAACAATTAGTTGGGTGTGGTGGTGCACTCCTGTGGTCCCAGCTACTCAGGAAGTTGAGGTGGGAGGATCACTTGAGCACAAAAGGTAGAGGCTGCAGTGAACTGTGATTCACGCTGCTGCATTCCAGCCTGGGTGATAGAGTGAGACCCTGTCTCAAACAAAGAAAACATAGGGATAAATCAAAACATAGGGATAAATCTTCATGACCTTGGATGTGGCAGTGGATTCTAGATATGACACCAAAAGCATAATTCATTTAAAAAAAAATTGATGTTGGATGGCCAGGCGTGGTGGCTCACACCTGTAATCCCAGCACTTTGGGAGGCTGAGACGGGCAGATCACAAGGTCAGGAGATCGAGACCATCCTGGCTAACACGGTGAAACTCCGTCTCTACTAAATATACAAAAAAATTAGCCAGGCGTGGTGGTGGGCGCCTGTAGTCCCAGCTACTCGGGAGGCTGAGGCAGGACAATGGCATGAACCTGGGAGGCGGAGCTTGCAGTGAGCCAAGATCGTGTCACTGCACTCCAGCCTGGGTGACAGAGTGAGACTCTGTCCCAAAAAAAAAAAAAAAAAAAAAAAAAGATTAAAAGTCTCTGCAAAGATAGTTGAAAATTAGAAATTTCATTGTTGGTCTAGAATAGTGTTGACCACTTAGAGGGGCCACTTAAGTATTTGCTGAATGAGTGGATTCTGAGTAGAACCTAGCCTAAATATATCTTTTCTCTGCAGTGCCTATAGAAGGTTCCTATTTTACCAGTTCCAGAGTGGGAGGCAAACGAGGAATTGTCAAGGAACTTGCTGTCACGTTGCAAGGACCAGAAGATAATACTCTACTGTTTGAATCAAGGTTTGAGAGTGGGAATCTGCAAAAAGCTGTCAGAGTGTGAGTAACAATTTCTCAAAGGGATGATAATTGGAGTGACTAGAAGGTGTCTTCAGTAATGATATTAGGAATCAGAAGTACTTGCAAAAAAGAAAGAGGTGATGGGGAATAGTTATGGGTATGAAGAAAAATGGAGTAATTATTACTCATTTTTTCCCCAAAATAAAATGTTTTCTAAATTGTTTACTTTGCTTATAGAAGAAATTAGAGCTCACCTAAAATTTGTATTAGTAAAAATATGTAACATAAAAAGTCCTATAGTCATACTTCCTAGATGCAGCAAATATTAAGTTTAGTGTATATGCCTTAATATTTTTCTGTGTGTGTATATGTAATATGCACAAATTATATATATATATATATATATATATATTTTTTTTTTTTTTTTTTTTCTTGAGATGGAGTCTCTCTCTGTTGCCCAGGCTGGAGTGCAGTGACATGATCTTGGCTCACTGCAAGCTCCGCCTCCCAGGTTCATGCCATTCTCCTGCCTCAGCCTCCTGAGTAGCTAGGACTACAGGCGCCTGCCACCATGCCTGGCTAATTTTTTTGTATTTTTAGTAGAGACGGGATTTCACCATGTTAGCCAGGATGGTCTCGATCTCCTGATTTCGCGATCTGCCCGTCTCGGCCTCCCAAAGTGCAGGGATTACAGGCATGAGCCACTGTGCCCGGCCATTTATATATTTTTAAAATAAAAATTGATTAATGGTGTATGTACATATTGTTTTGCAAATTGGCAAATTTTTTTTCCACTTCATAAATTTCAGGTGTTTTTCTATGGCAGTACCATAGATATACTTCCTTATTGTTTTTGTTTGTTTGTTTGTTTTTTCCTCAAGATGGAGTCTTGCTCTGTTGCTCAGGCTGGAGAGCAATGGCACGATCTCAGCTCACTGCAACCTACACCTCGTGGGTTCAAGTGATTCTCTTGCTTCAGCCTCCTGAGTAGCTGGGATTACAGGCACCCGCCACCACACCTGGCTAATTTTTTTTTTTTTTTGTATATTTAGTAGAGATGGGGTTTCACCATGTTGGCCAGGCTGGTCTTGAACTCCTGACCTCAGGTAATCAGCCCGCCTCAGCCTCCCAAAGTGCTGGGATTACAGAGAATAAATGATTAAGGTAGCAGATTTTTCTGTTGTAATAAGACCTGTTTTTACCAGGAGAAAACAACATTTTCCCAATTTGTTTTTTAAGGCAGGGTGTAAGCTTACAGAGTTGTTCTATTTTCTCCATTACAGAGACACCTATGAGTATGAACTCACCTTGCGAACTGACCTCTACACTAACAAACACACTCAGTGGTTTTATTTTCGTGTTCAGAACACCAGAAAAGATGCTACCTATCGCTTCACCATTGTCAACTTGCTAAAACCCAAGAGTCTTTATACTGTAGGGATGAAGCCACTCTTGTACTCCCAATTGGATGCCAACACCCGCAATATTGGCTGGAGGAGAGAAGGAAATGAAATCAAGTACTACAAGAACAACACGGATGATGGGCAGCAGCCCTTCTACTGTCTCACGTGGACCATTCAGTTTCCATATGACCAGGACACTTGCTTCTTTGCACACTTCTACCCATATACATACACTGATTTGCAATGCTACCTCCTGTCAGTGGCAAACAACCCTATCCAGTCTCAGTTCTGCAAGCTCCAAACTTTATGCAGGAGCCTAGCAGGAAATACCGTTTACTTGCTCACCATCACCAACCCATCCCAGACCCCTCAAGAGGCAGCTGCAAAGAAAGCTGTGGTCTTGAGTGCCAGAGTTCACCCTGGAGAAAGTAATGGCTCCTGGGTTATGAAAGGCTTTTTGGACTTCATCCTTAGCAACTCCCCAGATGCCCAGCTCCTCAGAGATATTTTTGTCTTCAAGGTGCTTCCCATGTTAAATCCAGATGGTGTGATTGTGGGGAATTATCGGTGTTCCTTGGCCGGAAGGGATTTGAACAGGCATTATAAAACCATTCTGAAGGAGTCTTTCCCTTGTATTTGGTACACCAGGAACATGATCAAAAGGTGAGACTTTTTATCTGTTGATCTTTCTGTGACTGCTATGAGTCCTAGCACCAGATATCCCTACCTGATGGGGTATGAGGTCTCTTCTGTTGTTAAAGGAATTGAGTATGACTTTGGAGACAGAGCCCTTACCAGTCTCTTTGTAGTCAAGTGACTTTGTTAATTTTCAGACTTTTAAATCATGTCTTGTCTTTGGGTTGAAACTGGACATGCAACATTTCAGCAAGAGTCATTTCACTTGTAAGTGAAATAATTGAATGGAAAAGGTCAGAGTTCAGGGGAGTTCATAGGTCTTCATGATGAGACTTGTATCATAATAATAGTAGCTAACAATTAGTAAATGTGTATGCATGAAGTGGCAAGCTGTATGGTAGGTGCATTACACACATGACTCATTTAATCTTCACATTAACATTATGAGGTAGGCACAGTCAATATCGCATGTTGTATGATACAGAAATTGAGAACCTAGGCCAGGCGTGGTGGCTCACGGCTGTAATCCCAGCACTTTGGGAGGCTGAAGTGGGCGGATTACCTGGGGTCAGGAGTTCAAGACCAACCTGGCCAACATGGCGAAACCCAGTCTCTGCTAAAGATACAAAAATTAGCCAGGCGTGCTGGTGGGTGCCTGTAATCCCAGCTACTGAAGAGGCTGAGGCAGGAGAATCGCTTGAACCAAAGAGGTAGAGATTGCAGTGAGCCAAGAGCGTGCCACTGCACTCTAGCCTGGGTGGCAGAGTGAGACTCCATCTCAAAAAAAAAAAAAAAAAAAATTGAGAAGTGGGTAGGTTAAGTAACTTGCCTAAGGTCATAAAGCTATTAAGTGACAAAGTAGATATTTAAATACAGGCTCTCTCTCTGGTTCCAGAGTCTAAATTCCTTTTACGATCTTATATTGCCTATCACAAAGAAAGAATCATAACATCAGTCAGCAGTTTTCAAGCCTGTATAAAAGCATTGAAGGCTATAATGTAATAGCACCCACCTTAAAGGAATTTTCATGCCATTGGAAATGAAAATACAGCATATAAGAATATGTGGGCTGGGCTCAGTGGCTGACACCTGTAATCCCAGCACTTTGGGAGGCTGAGGCAGGCAGATCACCTGAGGTCAGGAGTTTGAGACCAGCCTGGCCAACATGGTGAAACCTCGTCTCTACTAAAAATAGAAAAATTAGCCGGGCATGATGGTGGGTGCCTGTAATCCCAGCTACTCAGGAGGCCGAGTCAGGAGAATCACTTGAACCTGGGAGGCAGAGGTTGCAATGAGCTGAGATGGCACCATGGCAGGCATAGCTAAAGAGCATATGTTTCAGAGTCAGACAGGCCTGAGTTTGAGACCTGTTTTTACTGCTGGCTGGTTCTGTGACCTTGGCTAAGTGATTTAATGTGTCTGAGCTTCAGCTTTCTCATCTGTAGAGTGGAAAAATAATACCTGCCTTGGGTGGTTACTGTGAGGATTGAGATAATCACATGATCTATTTACTATAGTACCCAGCATATTATAAATGTGTAGCATTGTTGTTATTATACTCATCATGGGGAAAGTGAACATATTTGGAAAGCTGGAATAGGTGTCCTGGGTGATCATGAGACAAAGAAGAGCTGAGCCTTGTAGGAACTGGCCCTCGAAAGTCAGGAATCAAGGCTTTCTTTGGTTCTTTTTCTTTCCTGCAACTGCCCACTCTCTGCCTCCCTCTCTTTCTTCACAGGTCTGCACCATGGTGAGCTTTTTCTCAATAGGCTTTTTTGCACTTCCTTGTCAACTTACGCAAGGCTACCCACCACCCCTTTCCAAATCAGAACTTTTCCATTTCTGGTCAGGCACAGTGACTCATGCCTGTAATCCCAGCACTTTGAGAGGCCGAGGCAGGAGGATCACTTGAGCCCAGGAGTTGGAGACCAGCCTGAGCAACACAGTGAGACCCCGTGTATTAGGTTGTATTTGCATTGCTATAAAGAAATATCTGGCCAGGCGTGGTGGCTCATGTCTGTAATCCCAGCACTTTGGGAGGCTGAAGCAGGCAGATCACTTGAGGTCAGGAGTTTGAGACCTGCCTAGCCAACATGGTGAAACCCCGTCTCTACTAAAAATACAAAAATTAGCCTGGCATGGTGGTGCACGCCTGTAATCCCAGCTACTCAGGAGGCTGAAGCACTAGAATTGCTTGAACCTGGGAGGCAGAGGTTGCAGTGAGCCGAGATCACGCCACTGCACTCCAGCCTAGGTGACAGAGTGAGACTGTGTCTTAACAAAAAAAAAAAAAAAGAAAGAAAGAAAAGAAAAAAGAAAGAAAGAAATACCTTAGACTGGGTAATTTATAAAGAAAAGAGGTTTAATTGGCTCATAGTTCTGCAGCTTTACAAGAAGCATGGTGCTAGCATCTGCTCAACTTCTAGGGAGCCCTCAGGAAGCGTACAATCATGGCAGAAGGCAAAGAGGGAGCAGGCACATCATATGGCGAAAGCAGGAGTAGGAGAGAGAGAATAAGTGTAGGGGAGGTGCCACACTTTTTTTTTTTTGAGACGGAGTTCATTTTTTTTTTTCAATTTCACATACATTTATTGAATATTTACTGTGTGCCAGGCACTGTGCTAGCAGCCAAACTAAATATTCTTTAGTTTCAATGAATAATTGATAACGGGAATGTTTTTCCATCATTTCTAGTATAAGTGGGGTTCTTTTTCATTTTTAGTAGAGAGCTATATTTTTGTAGGACAAAACATATAATACTGTCCCCTCTGTTGATATTAAGTCAAATATTTTATCTGTTCAGTCAAAGCCCAGTTCTGGTGTTAATGGGCCTGGATTTAATTAATTAAAGGATTAACTTACTGTATCATTACCTGTGTGCACCAGGCACCCTTCTGAATTGCAGACAGCATGTAGGAAGATCTAACTAAACTTTATTTTTTTTTATTATTTATTTATTTATTTTTTTATTATTATTATACTTTAAGTTTCAGGGTACATGTGCACAATGTGCAGCTTAGTTACATATGTATACATGTGCCATGCTGGTGTGCTGCACCCATTAAGTCATCATTTAGCATTAGGTATATCTCCTAATGCTATCCCTCCCCCCTCCCCCCACCATTTTTTTTTTTTTTTTTTTTGAGATAGAGTTTCACTCTTGATGCCCAGGCTAGAATGCAATGGCGCAATCTCGGTTTACTGCAACCTCCACCTCCTGTGTTCAAGTGATTCTCCTGCCTCAGCCTGCCAAGTAGCTGGCATTACAGGTATGCACCACAACACCTAGCTAATTTTGTATTTTTAGTAGAGATGGGGTTCACCAGGTTGGTCAGGCTGGTCTCGAACTCCTAACCTCAGGTGATCCACCCACCTCAGCCTACCAAAGTGCTGGGATTATAGGCATGAGCCACCGTGCCCGGCCAGTGTCACACATTTTTAAACAACCAGATCTTGTGCAAAGTCAGAGTGAGAGCTCATGTATCACCAGGGGATGGCCCAAGCCACTCATGAGGGATCCACCCCCACTATCCAAATACCTCTCGCTAGACGCCACCTCCAACACTAGGGATTATATCTCAACCTGAGATTTGGGCAGAGACAAATACCCAAACTCTATCACCCTGCCTCTACAAAAAAAAAAAAAAAAAAAAAACCAGAAACAAAAATAGCTGGGTGTATTGGTGTGTGCCTGTAGTCCCAACTACTTAGGAGGCTGAGGTGGGCGGATGACTTGAGCCCAGGAGGTCAAGGCTACAGTGAGCCATGGTCAGGCCACTACACTCCAGCCTGAGCAACAGGGCAAGACCCTGTCTCAAAAAAGAAAAAAAGAAATTTTCCATTTCAAGTCCTTCTGACTGGCAAGGCAAGCTGATGACATGTTTTCTGCAGTGGCTGAGAATGGAGATAGGGTCCATTGAAGGCCAATGGAGTTGAGATTTTCTTAGGAGGGAAAGTATTAACAGCTGTATTTAAGGAAGAGATACCAAATGATCCTTAATTATTTGTATGCATTTGGGTGTCCACTGAGTCCTTTGTTTGCCCCCTCAATAGACTTCTTGAAGAAAGAGAGGTTCTGTTGTATTGTGATTTCCATGGCCACAGTCGTAAGAATAATATCTTCCTGTATGGCTGTAATAACAACAATCGCAAATACTGGCTTCATGAACGAGTCTTTCCTTTAATGTTATGCAAAAATGCACCAGATAAGGTAAGCACATAATGTAATTTTCTCTCCATTGAGTTAGGGACATGGGAACTCACTGCTTCCTATATGTAGTGTTTTATTTGGCATTTTGTATCTCTTTTTATTATCTTTGGTAAATCCGAGCAACCTAGACTTCAAGAATTTAGAAAAGCGTGGTTTTAAGAATTGCTGTGGGGCCAGGCACAGTGGCTCACACCTGTAATCCCAGCACTTTGGGGGGCCAAGGCAAGCAGATTACCTGAGGTCAGGAGTTCGAGACCAGCCTGACCAACACGGAGAAACCCCATCTCTATTAAAAATACAAAAAGTAGCCAGGCATGGTGGCACATGCCTGTAATGCCAGTTACTTGGGAGGCTGAGGCAGGAGAATCGCTTAAACTTGGGAAGCAGAGGTTGCAGTGAGCAGAGATCGTGCCATTGCACTCCAGCCTGGGCAACAAGAGCAGAACTCCATCTCAAAAAAAAAAAGAATTGCTGTGTCCTGCCAGCTACAGTGGCTCATGCCTGTAATCCTAGCACTTTGGGAGGCCGAGGTGGGCATATTGCTTGAGCCCAGGAGTTCAAGACCAGCCTGGGCAACATAGGGAGACCCCTGCCACTACTAAACAATAGAATAAAAAAGAATTGCTGTGTCCATCAACCAATCAACAGATAAATAAAATGTGGTATCCTTTTTTATTTTTTTTTTTGAGACGGAGTCTCGCTCTGTCGAGGCTGGAGTGTAGTGGTGCAATCTTGGCTCACTGCAACCTCTGCCTCCCAGATTCAAGCAATTCTCCTGCCTCAGTTTCCTGAGTAGTTGAGAGTACAGGCATGCACAACCATGCCTGGCTAAATTTTTTTGTACTTTTAGTGGAGACGGGGTTTCACCACGTTGGCTAAGCTGTTCTCAAACTCCTGACCTCAAGTGATCCGCCTGCCCCGGCCTCCCAAAGTGCTGAGATTACAGGCGTGAGCTACTGCGCCCCTCCATAAGTTGAAATTCTTGCATATACAGTTATCTATCACCTATCCTGTGGTGGTTGACCCTGGAAGAAGAGATTGAAGGACAAGCAAAATGCTAATGTCATGAGTCTTCATAGGAAAGGTTATATACTAGAAGATCACAAATAATTGTAAGATATTAAAGAGCTTAATGAAAACAATATAAAAGTTTTTAATAATTGACTAATTTTGTGACAGGCATATACAGGTAATCTTCATTGGTGTAGAAGCTGGTTTTTCACATCATAAATAGATCCACAAAATGTAGCTTTCAGAAGAAGAAAGTAGATTGGATTTTTATTTATTTATTTATTTATTTTACTTATTTTTTTTTCTTCTCCTTATTTTTTTTTTTTGAGACAGAGTCTTGTTCTGTCGCCCAGGATGGAGTGCAGTGGCGCGATCTCGGCTCACTGCAACCTCCATCTCCCAGGTTCAAGCAATTCTCTGCCTCAGCCTCCCGAGGGTCTGGGATTACAGGCACCCGCCACCACACCCAGCTAATTTTTGTATTTTTAATAGAGACAGGGTTTCACCATCTTGGCAAGGCTGGTCTTGAACTCCTGACCACCCGCCTCAGCCTCCCAAAGTGCTGGGATTATAGGTGTGAGCCACCATACCCGTCCTTTTATTTATTTTTTCAAGACGTAGTCTTGCTCTGTCACCCAGATCGTGCAGTAACACGATCTCCACTCACTGCAACCTCCGCCTCCCGGGTTCAAGCAATTCTCCTGCCTCAGCCTCCCGAGTAGCTGAGATTACAGGCAGGCGCCACCATGCCTGGCTACTTTTGTATTTTTAGTAGAGATGGGGTTTAGTAGAGATGGGGTATTTTTAGTAGAGATGTAGGCCAGGCTGGTCTCAAACTCCTTACCTTGTGATCTGCCCGCCTTGGTCTCCCAAAGTGTTGGGATTACAAGCTTGAGCCACCACGCCACGCACGGCCTAGACTGGATTTTTTTAAGTTTTTTTTTTTTTTTTTTAATAGAGACAGGGTCTCACTATGTTGCCTAGGCTGGTCTTGAACTCCTGGGTTCAAGCAACTCTCCCGCCTCACCACCTCAGCCTCCCAAAGTGCTGGGATTACAGGTGTGAGCCACTGCACTGGCTTTAGAAAAGTATTTTAATTTTTTTTTTTTTTGAGATGGAGTCTCACTCTGTCTCCCAGGCTGGAGTGCAGTGGTGTGTCTCAGCTCACTGTAACCTCCACCTCCTGAGTTGAAGTGATTCTCCTACCTCAGCCTCCTGGGTAGCTGGGATTACAGGCACAAGCTACCACACTTGGCTAAATTTTTTTGTATTTTTAGTAGAGACGGGGTTTCACCATGTTGACCAGGATGGTCTCAATCTCCTGACCTCATGATCCACCCACCTCGGCCTCCCAAAGTGCTAGGATTCCAGGGGTTAGCCACTGTGCCTGACCGATATTACAGACTTTTTCCCATAAAGATATATGATAAAAATATTTTGTATTGTTACTCTTATTTGTTTAAAAAAAGAAAAGGAGGAAGCTTTCCTTCCTTCCTCTCTCTCTCTTTTGTTTTTTGAGTCTCGCTCTGTCGCCCAAGCCGGAGTCAGTGGCACGATCTCAGCTCACTGCAACCTCCTCCTCCCAGGTTCAAGTAATTCTCCTGCCTCAGCCTCCTGAGTAGCTGGGATTACAGGTGCATGTTGCCATGCCCGGCTAATTTTTTTGTATTTTTAGTAGAGTCGGGGTTTCGCCATCTTGGCCAGGCTGGTCTCAAATTCCTGACCTCAGGTGATTGGGCCGTCTCGGCCTCCCAAAGTGCTGGGATTACAGGCATGAGCCACCATACCCGGCCTCTCTTTCTCTTTCTCTTCTCTTCTCTTTTTTCTTTTCTTTTTTTCTCTTCTCTTCTTCTTTTTCTTTCTTTCTTTTCCTTTCCTTTCCTTCTTTTCTTTCCTTCTTTTCCTTCTCTTATCTTCTTTTCTTTCTTTCAGGAAATCACACCCAGAACCCATATCTAAAACAAACTAATTGAAGCAGGGAACTCTGTCTCCTCTGCTCCTTCCCTCCATGAAGCAGAAATGCCCTGAGGCTCCTCAATAGAACCCCTGGATTCCACAGAGCACAATTTAAAAATCGCTGGACAATGAGATACTTTCCAACTGCAAAATCTTTTTAGCACGATAGGGTGGATAGAGAGAGGTGCCAAGTGTATATTACAAACTCCAAGTGACACACAAGGGCTGAGGGGTCATAAAAGATAAGGGAGGATATTGAACTCCAAGTGATAAGATTAGTGTAAGGGAGAGGGTTCCAGGCAGAGATTATGGGGGTAAGGAATACACATCATAGACAGAAGATAAACACAACTAGATTTAGGGGTTCAAGTTGGGGAGTGGCAGAAAATAAGTCTTAGAAAGGTTGGCTAGTGCCTTGAATGCCAAACGGATGTTCTAGGAAACCAATTCCTGCAAAATTCTCCTTAGGGGAGTGGGGTGGGGACAACAGGAAGGAAGAGTTCATGGGCAAAAATGTTTGGAAAACATATTGCAAATATACTCTCTTCCCTTTGGAAGATTACAGTCCTCATATTAAACACTCTAAGAGGGCTTGCAGAGAGAGCCTGTTTAGTTTTGTTAACCCTTCATCTCCCTGACTAACATGACCACAGAACTCCTTTTTCCCCTGTAATACCTGTTAACATCCCTCCAAATTAGTATTTTGTGGAACATGCTTTGGGAAATAACATATGGACCCCAAGGAAATTATTCTTGTATCATATTAATGAATCTTAGATATTTTACATTTGCTGATTTATGATTAACAGAAAATTTGGATTTCTTTTTAGTTCTCTTTTCACAGTTGTAATTTTAAGGTCCAAAAATGCAAAGAAGGAACAGGACGAGTTGTTATGTGGCGGATGGGAATCCTAAACAGCTACACCATGGAGTCTACCTTTGGCGGGTCCACCCTGGGTACATTCTCTTTTGTATATCATAGGCCAGCATAGGAAGGGAAATCCAAGCAAAGCATCAGGGAGATAAAATGCCTTTGAATGCTGGGGAGATAACTGATCTAGAGGATTTCTTTGTCTAGACTTATGCTAAATTTGAGTGCCCAACATATGAATGTGAAATATATTTGATGAGGCAGTATGGCATAGTGGTTGCTAAAGACCTGGAATCAGGCCAGGCGCAGTGGCTCACGCCTGTAATCCCAGCACTTTGGGAGGCCAAGGCGGGCAGATCACGAGGTCAGGAGATCAAGACCAGCGTGACCAACATGGTGAAACCCCATCTCTACTAAAAATTAGCTGGGCGTGGTGGCACGTGCCGGTAGTCCCAGCTACTCTGGAGGTTGAGGCAGGAGAATCGCTTGAACCCGGGAGGTGAAGGTTGCAGTGAGCCAAGATCGTGCCATTGCACTCCAGCTTGGGTGACAGAGCGAGACTCTGTCTCAAAACAAACAAACAAACAAACAAAAAACCTGGAATCAGGCAGATAGGGGGTTGAATTTCAGCTGCATTAACAAGTTTTGTGTTCTTGGGTAAATTATCTGGCCTTTTTGAACTTCATTTTTTCTTTCTTTTTTTAATTTTTATTTATTTTGTTTTTTTGAGACAGGGTTTCTTTCACCCAGGCTAGAGTGTAGTGGCATGATCATGGCTCTCTGCATTCTCAACCTCCCAGGCTCAAGCGATTCTCCCACCTTAGCCCGTCGTGTAGCTGGGACTATAGGTGCATGTCACCATGCCTGGCTAATTTTTTTATTTTTTTTGTAGAGACAGGGTCTCCTTATGTTGCTCAAGCTGGCCTCAAACTCCCTGGCTCAAGCAATCCTCCTGCCTCGGCCTCTCAAAGTACTGGGATGGCAGGCATGAACCACCATGCCCAGCCTCATTTTCCTTTTACTGCAATAATAATAGTACTTGCATTGTAGGTACTGCTTAGTGAGATGGTGCATGGAGTGCACTTCCCATAGTGCCTAACATGAAGTAAAAACCCCAGTAATTAGAACCATCATGATTATAATTTTTTCATTGCCAAAGATTCTTCTGAACCAAACTAAAACTAGGAGAGCTACACTCTCCTGAAGCATAATATTCTAGAATAAGAGGTGTTTTGTTTTGTTTTGTTTTGTTTTGTTTTGTTTTGTTTCAGGGTCTCCCTCTGTTACCCAGGCTGGAGTGCAGTGGCGCAATCCCAGCTCACTGAAACCTCGCCTCCCTGGCTCAGGCGATCCTCCCACCTTAGCCTCCAACCTCAGCCTCCTGAGTAGCTGGGACTATAGGCACATGCCACAACGTCAGGCTAATTTTTGTATTTTTTGTAGAGACAAGGTCTCACCATGTTGCCCAGGCTAGTCTCGAACTCCTAGGCTCAAGTGAAGGGCCTGCCTTGGTCTCTCAAAGTGCTGGGATTATAGGCATGAGCCACTGTGCCTGGCCAGTGGTGGTATTTTTTTATTTTTTATTTTTATTTTTTTGAGACAGTCTTGCTGTGTCATCCAGGCTGGAGTGCAGTGGCACGATCTCAGCTCATTGCAAGCTCCACCTCCCGGATTCACGCCATTCTCCTGCCTCAGCCTCCTGAGGAGATAGGACTACAGGCTACAGGCGCCCACCACCACGCCCGGCTAATTTTCTTTGTATTTTTTAGTAGAGACGAGCTTTCACCATGTTAGCCAGGATGGTCTCAATCTCCTGACCTCGTGATCTGCCTGCCTTGGCCTCCCAAAGTGCTGGGATTACAGGCGTAAACCACCCCGCCTGGCCAGTGGTGGTATTTTTAAAAAGATAATCATAAATTAGATTTACATTCAGTCACTAAGATTTAATTGGAAATGTTTGCGGGGTTTTTTTTTTTTCCAGGTAATAAAAGAGACACCCACTTTACCATCGAAGATCTGAAGTCCTTAGGTTATCATGTCTGTGACACCCTTCTGGACTTTTGTGATCCTGACCAAATGAAGGTAAAAATGGGGTTTCAAGAAATGTGATGAAGGCCAGGCATGGTGGCTCACACCTGTAATCCTAGCACTTTGGGAGGCTGAAGTGGGTGGATTGCCTGAGCTCAGGAGTTCAAGACCAGCCTGGGCAACATGGCAAAACCCTCTCTCTACTAAAAATACAAAAAATTAGCTGGTCGTGGTGGCATGTGCCTGTAATCCCAGCTCTCGGGAGGCTGAGGCAGGAGAATCACTTGAACCTAGGAGGCGGAGGTTGCACTGAGTCGAGATCACACCACTGCACTCCAGCCTGGGGGACAGAGCGAGACTCAAAAAAAAAAAAAAGAAATGTGATGATGATGCTGTGGTCAGTTTCACATGGGTCCAAAGTGAGCCCAGTGGAATTATAGGCAATCTTTATTTTCCTCTTACTAGTTTTCTGAAGTTTTTATAATAAAAGAAAATAAGAAAGCCCCCAGACTGCATACTGTCTACAAATGGTAAGACCTCATAATTCACCAAGAAGATGGAGACAGTCCTTTGGAACACCTCTCCCTCACTTCTGGACTTAACCTATGGCAACACCTATTCTTTTTTTTTTCTTTTGAGACAGGATCTGACTCTGTTACCCAGGCTGAAGTGCAATGGGGTGATCACGGCTCATTGCAGCCTCAACACCTTAGCCTCCCAAGTAGTTGAGACCACAAGTATGCACCACCACACACAGCTAATTTTTAAGCTTTTATAGAGACAGGGTTTTTCCGTTCCCAGGCTGGTCTCCAGCTCCTGGGCTCGTGATCCTCCTGCCTCAGCCTCTCAAAGTGCTGGGATTACAAGCATGAGCCACTGTGCCCAGCTACAACACTAATTATCTTTCCTTTTATTTTAGAAAATCAGGTGTCTTTTCTTTTTTTTTTTTTTTTTTTTTTTTTTTTTTTGAGACAGGGTCTCCATCTGTCGCCCAGGCTGGAGTGCAGTGGCGCGAACTTGGCTCACTGCAATCTCCACCTCCCAGGATCATGCAATTCTCCTGCCTCAGTCTACTGAGTAGCTGGGATTACAGGCGTGCACCACCACGTCCGGCTAATTTTTGTATTTTTTAGTACAGATGGGGTTTCACCATATTGGTCAGGCTGGTCTGGAACTCCTGACCTCAGGTAATCTGCCCGCCTCAGCCTCCCAAACTGCTGGGATTATAGGCGCGAGCCACTGTGCCCAGCCAGGTGTCTTTTCTCTTCTCCAAAGTTAGCCCTGCTCTGTGTACACTTGTTGACTTCCCCTATGGCCTTTCTGAGGTCTTGCCTCATTAATTATGTCTTCCCAAACAAACAAACAAACAAAAAACTAATAATAATCATCATCAGGCCGGGTGCAGTGGCTCACACCTCTAATCCCAGCACTTTGGGAGGCTAAGGCTGGCAAATCACAAGGTCAGGAGTTCGAGACCAGCCTGACCAACACGGTGAAACCCCCATCTCTACTAAAAATACAAAAATTTAGCCAGGCGTGGTGGCAAGCGCCTGTAATCCCAGCTGCTCGGGAGGCTGAGGCAGGAGAAACACTTGAACCTGGGAGGCAGAGGTTGCAGTGAGCAGAGATCATGCCACTACACTCCAGCCTGGGTGACAGAGCAAGACTCCGTCTCAAAAAAAATAAAATAATAAAATAAAATAAAATAAAATAAAATAAAATAAAATAAAATAAAATAGAGTATTGCATTGTTGAAGAAGTTGGCAGCCAGGCATGATGGCTCACGCCTGTAATCCCAGCACTTTGGGAGGCCAAGGCGGGCAGATCACGAGGTCAGGAGTTCGAGACCATCCTGGCCAACGTGGTGAAACCCCATCTCTACTAAAAATACAAAAATTAGCTGGGCGTGGTGGTGTGCGCCTGTAGTCCCAGCTACTCAGGAGGCTGAGGCAGGAGAATGGCTTGAACCCAGGGGGCGGAGGTTGCAGTGAGCCAAGATCACGCCACTGTACTCCAGCCTGGAGACAGAGCAAGACTCTGTCTCAAAAAAAAATAAAAAAGAAGAAGTTGGCTCTAGTCAGAGAAAAGTGGCTAGAGCAGTGCTCACTGATGTTCTGCCCTAAAAAAATTTCTATTTGTTCCTCCCGCTCATGTAATTTTCTGTTAACATGTCCTTACTAGCAGGGGTGCAGGTTATTCATCTTTGTGTTCCCAGCAATAAATAAAATGCCTTTCAGCATATACTTAGTAAATATTTGATGAATAAATAAAATGGGCCAGGCATGATGGCTCACGCCTGTAATCCCAGCACTTTGGGAAGCTGAGGCAGGTGGATCACCTGAGGTCGGGAGTTCAAAACCAGCCTGACCAATATGGTGAAACCCTGTTTCTACTAAAAATACAAAATTAGCTGAGTGTGGTGGGGCATGCCTGTAATCCCAGCTACTTGGGAGGCTGAGGCAGGAGAATCGCTTGAACCCAGGAGACAGAGGTTGCAGTGAGCCAAGATAGTGCCATTGTACTCCAGCCTGGGCAACAAGAGTCAAACTCCGTCTCAAAAATAATAATAATAAATAAATAAAATAAAATGAATTAACAAAATAGTTCTTTTTTTCACTTTCATAGTTCACTCAGTGTCTAGCAGAGCTTAAGGAGCTTTTACGACAGGAAATCCACAAGAAATTCCATGAACTTGGACAAGATGTAGATTTAGAAGGAAGTTGGAGTGACATCTCTTTGTCTGACATTGAATCCAGGTAACAAAGAAAAAACAGAGTTTTGTTTTTTTTTAAATACTTTGTTGTTAACCTGGGTGATATAGTGAGATGTTGTCTCTACAAAAAATACAAAAATTAGCTGGGCTTGGTGATCTATGCCTGTAGTCCCAGACACTGGGGAGGCTGAGGTGGGAGGATCACCTGAGCCCAGGAAGTTAAGGCTACAGTGAGCCAAGATCATGCCACTGCACTCCAGCATGGGCGACAGGCTCAGAAACAAAAAACAAAACAAAAGAGTGAATATTCTTTGCCAGCCTCTGTTTTAGCCATTAGAAAGGAGTAGGGAGTTGGGCAGGCAGTTTGTGTAGGGCCTTGTAGGGAACTGCAAAGCCTTTGCCTTTCACTCCAACGGAGATGGAAAGCCTTTGGAAGGTTTTGAGTAGAGAAATATCATGGTTTGACAGGTTTTAGTTTCTTTTTTTTTTTTTTTTTTTTTGAGATGGAGGCTCGCTCTGTCGCCCAGGCTGCAGTGGCGCGATCTCCACTCACCGCAAGCTCCGCCTTCCGGGTTCAGGCCATTCTCCGGGCTCAGCCTCCCGAGTAGCTGGGACTACAGGCGCCTGCAACAACGCCCGGCTAATTTTTTGTATTTTTAGTAGAGATGGGGTTTCACCGTGTTAGCCAGGATGGTCTCAATCTCCTGACCTCGTGATCCACCCGCCTGGGCCTCCCAAAGTGCTGGGATTACAGGCGTGAGCCGCCGCGTCCGGCCCCAGACAGGTTTTAGTTTCAACAGGAACACTGGCTGCTGTGTGAAAAGTAGATCATAAAGAGGGAAGTTCTAAGCAGGGAGACTCAATAGGAGGCTCTTGCAATAATATAGGTAAAAGATAATGGAGGCTTAGACCAATAATACAGGTAAAAGGTAATGGAGGCTTAGACCAGAGTAGCAGCAGTGGTTGTGGGGGGATGTGTGAATTGGTTGGATTCTAGATATATTTTGAAATTATAAACATTAGGATTTGCCTGTGGATTGGATATGGGCATGAGAAAAGAAGAGAATGACTCCACAATTGGTTGGATGGAGTTGCCTTTAGCTGAGATGGGAAAGATCAAAGGAGTGGAAAAAATTAGAGAGGTAGTGAAGATCAGGAGTCTAGTGTTAGGCTTGTTAAGTTTGTAATGTCCATTATATATTTAGTGGAGACCTCGAACAAGCAGTAGGCTATATGGGTCTGGAGTTCAGTGGAGAGGTCCAGTGGACCAATGAGAGAGTCATCATTGGATAGATGACTTTTTTTTCTTGAGACAGGGTGTTGCTCTCCACCCAGGCTGGAGTGCAGTGGTATGATCTCTGCTCACTGCATCCTCAACTTCCTGGGCTCAAGCAATCCTCCTGCCTCAGCTCCCCAAGTAGCTGGGACTACAGGTGTGCACCATCATGCCCGGTTAATTTTTGTGTTTTTTGTAGAGAACAGGTTTTGCCATGTTGCCCAGGCTGGTCTCTAACTACTGAGCTCAACGGATCTGCCCGCCTCAGCCTCCCAAAGTGCTGCGATTACAAGCGTGAGACACCATGCCCAGCCTGGTAGATAATATTTAAACCTTAACACTAGATGGGGACTGGATGAAGTGGCTCACACCTGTAATTCCCACTCTTTGGGAGGCCAAGGCAGGCGGATCACTTGAGGTCAGGAGTTCAAGACCTGCCTGGCCAACATTATGAAACCCCATCTCTATTAAAAATACAAAAATTAGCTGGGTGTGGTGGCACATGCCTGTAATCCCAGCTACTTGGGAGGCTGAGGCGGGAGGGAGGATCGCCTGAACCCGAGAGGTGGAGGTTACTGTGAGCTGGGATTGCGCCACTGCGTTTCAGCCTGGGTGACAGAGTGAGACTCTGGTCTCAAAAAAAAAAAAAAAAAAAAAAAAAACTTAGCAGGGGGTCGGGGTATGCACCTGTAGTCCTAGCTACTTAAGAAGCTGAGGCAGGAGGATTGCTGAGCTCAGAAATTCGAGGTTGCAGTGAGGTATGGCCGCGCTAGTGTACTACAATCTGCGCTATAGAGTGAGACCCTGTCTCAGAAAAAAAAAAAAAAAAAAAAAAAAAGACTGGTGGGATCTCAAGGAAGTAAGTGCAGATAGAGAAGAGGTCCAAGTCTGAGGTTTGAGCTGGATAATACAACTTTAATAGGGGAGGAGCCAGCAAAGGCGACTGAGACGAAGGGACTAGCAAGGCTGAAAAAAAGCAGAAGAGTGATTTTTTAAAAAACCTAAATCAGGCGCGGTGGCTCACACCTGTAATCCCAGGACTTTGGGAGGCCGAGGCTGGCAGATCACCTGATGTCAGGAGTTCAAGACCAGCCTAACCAACATGGAGAAACCTCATCTCTACTAAAAATACAAAATCAGTTGTGTGTGATGGCACATGCCTGTAATCCCAGCTACTCGGGAGGCTGCAGCAGGATAATCACTGGAACCCGGAGACGGAGGTTGCAGTGAGCCGAGATCGCACCATTGCACTCCAGCCTGGGCAACAAGAGCGAAACTCCATCTCAAAAAATGAATGAATAAATAAATAAATAACCTAAATCAGATAATATCATGTATCTGTTGAAAGCACTTCAGTATCTCCCCGACTCAGTTTTAAAAAAAGCCAAAGACCCTACAATGGCCTATAAGGCTATAAGCCTCCTGATACCTCTATGGCCTCCACCCTAACCCTTTTTTTTTTTTTTTTTTTGAGACGGAGTCTCGCTCTGTCACCCAGGCTGGAGTGCAGTGGCACGATCTCAGCTCACTGCAACCTCCGCTTCCCAGGTTCAAGCAATTCTCCTGCCTCAGCCCCTCAAGTAGCTGGGACTACAGGTGCACGCCACCACGCCTGGCTAATTTTTTGTATTTTAGTAGAGACAGGGTTTCACTGTGTTGCCTAGGATAGGCTGGTCTCGAACTCCTGACCTCAGGCAATCTGCCCACCTCGGCCTCCCAAAGTGCTGGGATTACAGGCGTGAGCCACCGCGCCCAGCCAAATGCTGCCTTTTTCAACATGACCTACACACATTACTCTAATGCTACAACTTACTCCCCTCCTTCACCCTCCTGCCACTCCTTATCCCCCTTAGGTGCTCTACTTTTTTCCATAGCATTTATTGCCTCTGTCATTCTGTATCATTTAAGTCTTTACTATATCTGTTTTATTTATTTATTTATTTTTGAGACAGACTTTCACTCTTCTTGCCCAGGCTGGAGTGCAATGGCGTGATCTCCACTCACTGCAACCTCTGTCTCCCAGGTTTAAGCTATTCTCCTGCCTCAGCCTCTCGATTAGCTGGGATTACAGGTGCCCACCACCACGGCTGGCTAATTTTTAGTAGAGATGCGGTTTCACCATGTTGGCCAGGCTGGTCACGAACTCCTGACCTCAGGTGATCCACCCATCTCGGCCTCCTCAAGTGCTGGGATTACAGGCATGAACCACTGCGCCTGGCCAATTTTTTTTTTTTTTTTTTTTTTGAGATGGAGTCTCTCTCTGTCACCCAGGCTGGAGTCCAATGGCGTGATCTCAGCTCACTGCAACCTCCGCTTCCCGGGTTCAAGCAATTCTCCTGCCTCAGTCTCCCGAGTAGCTGGGATTATTACAGGCGCCCACCACCATGCCTGCTAATTTTTTTTTTTCTTTTTGAGACAGAATTTCGCTCTTGTTGCCCAGGCTGGAGTGCAACGGCACGATCTCGGCTCACTGCAGTCTCCACCTCCCGGGCTCAAGCGATTCTCCTGCCTCAGTCTCCCAAATAGCTGGGATTACAGGCATGTGCCACCACGCCTGGCTAATTTTGTACTTTTAGTAGAGATGGGGTTTACTCATATTGGTCAGGCTGGTCTCGAACTCCCGACCTCAGGTGATCCGCCCACCTCGGCCTCCCAAAGTCCTGGGATTACAGGCATGAGCCACTGCGCCCGGCCATCTAATTTTTGTATTTTTAGTAGAGATGGGGTTTCACCATGTTGCCCAGGCTGGTCTTGAACTCCTGACCTCAAGTGATCCACCCACCTTGGCCTCCCAAGGTGCTGGGATGACAAGCATGAGCCACCATGCCCAGCCAATATCTGTTGTTTATTGTCTGTTTCCCTCTACTAGGAGATAGGTTCTGCAAAGTCAGAGATCTTTTCGTTTGCTCTGTATCTCATGCACTTAGAATGGTACTGTTCTGTACCTAGCACAGAGGAAGAGCTCAACAAATATTTTTTGAATTAATTTAGCATTCAGGATCTCATCTGTACCTTCATAGTCTCCCCAGCTATTTAGGAAGCCCCCAAAAGGTTATGTCTCCCAGGTATGCAAGAATACCTTCTACTCTAACTTACTGGCTAAAGTGCCTCGTGGATGACCCAGCTGCTTTCAGGCTTCTGAGCTGGCGTGGAAGTCTTCTGACAGAGGCTGCACTGTAGTCTGTGGTGGACAGTGGAAAAGGGATGGCTCTTCCACCCACTCTATGGCACATTGACATCTGGGCCCAAAAGCAATTCTGAGTCTCACAAATATTTCTTTGGGGACCTTAAACTAGGCCATCAGACCAGGTAGTGTGCCCCATTCACCATGTCATCCCTTCCACTCTCTCAGAATCCTATGCCTAACTCACCAAGACCTCTGCACCAACCCCTCTCCAAATACACCCTCAAAAACAAAATGCCGGCTGGATGCAGTGGCTCACGCCTGTAGTCTTAGCACTTTGGGAGGCCAAGATGGGCGGATCACTTTAGCCCAGGAGTTCAAGACAAGCCTGGGCAACATGGAGAAACCCTATCTCTACAAGAAATGCAAAAAGTAGCCAGTCATGGTGACTCATGCCTGTTGTCCCAGCTACTTGGGAGGCTAAGGTGAGAGGATCATTTGAATCCAGGAGGTCAAGGCTGCAGTGAGTCAAGATTGCACTACTGCACTCCAACCTGAGCGACACAGCGAGACCCTGTCTCAAAAAAAAAAAGTGTGCTCTGCATATCAACTCATAGAAATAGTGCCCAAGATGTGGCTAGGCATGATGGCTCATGTCTGTAATAACGGGTATGATGGCTCATGTCTGTAATCCCAGCACTTTGGGAGACTGAGATGGGAGGATTGTTTGAGGCCAGGAGTTGGAGACCAGCTTGGTCAACATAGTGAGATCCCATTTCTATTTTTTAAAAAATTTAAAAAGAAATAAATAGGGCCCAAGGGGAACCAATTCAGAAACAGGCAGACTCTACAGTCTAGTGGCTCAGCAGGGACACTCTGATGCATATGGTTAAGAATTATTGAACCCAATTTGCCAGCCTCTGCCTCAAGAAACTGGCTGTCACAGTCTCCAGTGGGGTTCCACCTATTCATTGTCACGATTGCAAAGGAAAGCAGACTGTGAGTGTACAAGCCCAGTTTGAGTTTGCTCTGTGTGTGTACACACAAAGGTTTTGACACTTTCTGGGACATACTGCTTTTAGTGCTTTTGTCCCATTTGCTAACATTTTCTACCAACAGGACTTCCAGCATCCTAAAAGGCTACTCCTTGACTAGAAAAACACCTTGTGAGAACAGGGAATTGGGAATTAGGTCAGAGAAGATGGGGTTTTCTTCCTGCTGTCTTTCTGTGGGACTACTACTCATTGTGCACTGA
The DNA here is from genome assembly GCF_000001405.40 of Homo sapiens. NCBI lineage: Eukaryota > Metazoa > Chordata > Mammalia > Primates > Hominidae > Homo > Homo sapiens. The sequence continues at coordinate 104,025 of NW_019805496.1, read as the reverse complement.
GAGGTGGGAGGGGAGCAGAAACAGAATGAAGGCCTGGGCAGCTGAATGGTTTGAAATCCTGACTTCTCCCATGTGATTCGAGCTCTGTGCCAATAAGTGTTTTTTGTTTGTTTGTTTGTTTGTTTGTTTTTGAGATGGAGTCTCACTCTGTCACCCAAGCTGGAGTGTAGTGGTGCGATCTCGGCTCACTGCATCACTGCAATCTCCACCTCCCGGGTTCAAGCAATTCTCATGCCTCAGCCTCCCGAGTAGCTGGAATTACAGGCACCCGCTACCACACCCAGCTAATTTTTTTTTTGTATTTTTAGTAGAGATGGAGTTTCACAATGTTGGCCAGGCTTGTCTCGAATTCCTGACCTCAAGTGATCTGCCCATCTCGGCCTCCCAAAGTGCTGGGATTACAGGCATGAGCCACCGCGCCTGGCCTTGTGCCAGTAAACTGTGTGTATAGACCCCTGTCATAGAGAACAGCTCTTGGTTCTAGCCAACTAAACCCCAGGAAAGGGGAAAATATAATGTGACACTTAAGCAAAAGACATGAAGAAAGAAAGGTTTGATTATTTAAGTTTTCATTCATCCTAGCCCTTGCAGAAAGGGGGAGGACACAGTTTGTGAGGGAAGACTTTAGATTAGTCTAGATGAGCATCCAAACCTTTTTTTTTTTTTAGAAAGAGTGTCGCTCTGTCGCCCAGGCTAGAGTCAGTGGCGCAATCACAGCTCACTATAGCCTCAACCTCCTGAGCTCAAATGATCCTCCCAGCTCAACCTCCCCAGTAGCTGGGACTATAGGCGTACACCACCACACCTGGCTAATTTTTGTATTTTTTTGTAGAGACAGGGTTTTGCCATGTTGCCCAGGCTGGTCTCAAACTCCTGGGCTCAAGAGATCTTTAAGCCTCAGCCTCCCAAAGTGCTGGGATTACAGGTGTGAACCACTGTGCCCAGCCACCCTTTTTTTTTTTTTAATAGAGACAGGGTATCACTGTGTTGCCCAGTCTGGTCTTTAATTCCTGGCCTCAAGTGATCCCTCCTGCCTTGGCCTCCCAAAGTGTGGGGATTATAGTCATGAGCCACCATGCCTGGCCTCATTCAAAACTTTTGAAGGAAAATTGGGGTGATAAAAGTAATCTTGGTCTCTGACCTGAAGGTTCTTTTTGTTATTTATTTATTTTTTTAGATAGTTTCTTGCCCTGTTGCTCAGACTGGAGTGCAGTGGCACAATCTCGGCTCACTGCAGCCTCAACCCCCTGGGCACTAGTGGTCCTCCTATCTCAGCCTCCCAAGTGTCTGGGACCACAGGAGGCACCACCATTACTAGCTAATTTTAAAAAAAACATTTTTTGTAGATACAGCGACGTACTGTATCGCCCAGGCTCAGATTCTTTATTAAATGCATATGTTTATATATTGAATACATTTCTTCAGAGTACCTGTTAGGATCCTGGATTTCTGAATTGGTACCAGCCAAAGAGGAATAAATGAGAAAGATCCCTTGTTTTCAAACAAATGACAGTCCTCTGCTGTTCTCTAGGCCTGCACATTGAGAATCCTGTAGCCTCTCACAACCTCCACCAAGGGCAATTCTGCCCATCTGGCCAGTATTTGCTTTGCCATATGGACTGCAAACTCTTTGGTGCCAGAGGCTCTGCCTCGTTCATCTGTGTTCCCTGTGCCTAGCACACTGCTTGGCATGCAGTAGGTGTTCGGAGTGAATGAATGAATGTGCTTGTCAAGAATTCTTTTTTGGGTACCGGGTACAGTGGCTCACGCCTGTTATCCCAGCACTTTGGGAGGCCGAGGCGGGAGGATCATGAAGTCAGGAGATCGAGACCATCTTGGCTAACACGGTGAAACCCCATCTCTACTAAAAATACAAAAAATTAGCTGGGCATGGTGGCGGGCACCTGTAGTTCCAGCTACTCGAGACGTTGACATAGGGAGACTCTGTCTCAAAAAAAAATTTTTCTTTTTTTTTTTTATTGAGACAGCTTCACTCTTGTTGCTTAGGCTGGAGTGCAATGGCGCAATCTCGGTTCACTGCAACCTCTGCCTCCCAGGTTCAAGCAATTCTCCTGCCTTAGCCTCCTGAGTAGCTGGGACTACAGGCGTGCGCCACCACACCCAGATAATTTTTTTGTATTAATAGAGACGGGGTTTCACCATGTTAGTCCGGGTGGTCTCAAACTCCTGACCACCTCCTGACCAAGGTGATCCACCCACCTTGGCCTCCCAAAATGCTGAGATTACAGGCGTGTGCCACCGCACCCAGCTGTCAAGAATTCTTAGTGATTGCTTGGGCGCAATTTCTCATACCTGTAATCTAAGTACTTTAAGAGGCTGAGGCAAGAGGATCGCTTGAACACAAAAGTTCAAGACTAGCCCAGGCAACATAGTGGGATCCTGTGACTACAAGAATTTTAAAAATTAGCCAGGCATGGCGGCATGAGCCTGTAGTCTCAGTTGCTCAGAAGGCTGAGGTGGGAGGATCTCTTGAGCCGGGGAGGTCAAGGCTGCAGTGATCTATGATCACAGTACTGCACTCCAGCCTGGGTGACAGAGTGAGACCCTGTCCCAAAAATATAAAAAAGGAAGAAAATAATAATTTTTAGTAATTGAAGCATAGACAATGAGAGAAATAGTAGACTAGAAGATATCCTAATCCTAATCCCATACAGCTGGTCTGGTAAATGTTATGCTTCCTAGACATATCAATGACAGTTATTTCCTCTTCTTTTTTTCTTTTGGAAACAGCACCAGTGGCTCTGACAGTTCTCTCTCAGATGGTCTTCCTGTTCACCTAGCAAACATAGCAGATGAGGTAAGCTGAACTCTTATACCCAGGAAATAGCAGCCTTAAAAAAAAGTCATGACACTACCAGACAATTTGTTGGAATTTTCCAACAGTCCTAAGACCTGCAGAAAATATACAGTAATGTCCTAACTAGTCACCTTGCCCTAAAGTCTCTTGTTTTGTCCTTTATAACTTTCTTGCTTAATTTTTAAGGCCATCTTAAGGTAACACCCAAACTGAATCTTTTAACCACACATTTAATGATCATTAATATCTGGGCCTGATATTATTGCCATAAGTAATCTGATTTCATATTGTAAATCACAGATATTTGGTTATTAGTATAAGTGCCCCTTTGTGTTTTTTTGTTTGTTTGTTTGTCTTTTGAGATGGAGTCTTGCTCTGTCTCCTAGGCTGGAGTGCAGTGGCGCAAACTTCCGCCTTCTGGGTTCAAGCAATTCTCCTGCCTCAGCCTCCTGAGTAGCTGGGATTACAGGCACATGCCACCACGCCCGGCTAATTTTTGTATTTTTAGTAGAGATGGGGTTGGCCATCCTGGTCTCAAACTCCTGACCTCGTGATCTGCCCGCCTTGGCCTCCCAAAGTGCTGGGAATATAGGCGTGAGCTGCTGCACTGGGCCTTTTTTTTTTTTTTTTTTGAGATGGAGTCTCACTCTGTCGCCTAGGCTGGAGTTCAGGGGCGTGATCTCAGCTTACTGCAACCTCCACCTCCCAGGTTCAAGCAATTCTCCTGCCTCAGCCTCCTGAGTAACTGGGATTACAGGCACCTGCCACCTCACCCGGCTAATTTTAGTATTTTTAGTAGAGGTGGGGTTTTACCATGTTGGCCAGGCTGGTCTCAAACTCCTGACCTGAAGTGATCCACCCGCTTCAGCCTCCCCAAGTGTTGGGATTACAGGCATGAGCCACCATGCCCAACCATAAGTACCCCTTTGGCAGTTTATCTGTAACAGTGTGATTTGGGGGTATTAAGTAGGAAGCATCCTCCAGTAAGGAGGGAACTGAACTGTTTGTTTATTCTCCAAACCAACACCACAAATCTGCATACCGAGTTAGCCTTTGTGTCTTGAGTGTTGCATGAAGAGTGCCACATGTGGGTGGGCCTAGTTCTGGAATCTTCAATGACCAGTTTCTCTACTTTCTGGAATAGCTGACTCAGAAAAAGAAGATGTTTAAGAAGAAAAAAAAGAAGTCACTTCAGACTAGGAAACAGCGAAATGAGCAGTATCAGAAAAAAAATTTGATGCAGAAGTTAAAGTTAACAGAAGATACCTCAGTAAGAAAGACTTGCTGGCTATTTCTACTGTCTAGTTTCAGACCATTCCATAGAGGGATAAGGAAAGGGGGTTAAAGTTTACTCTAAACCAAAAAGGGGATGGAGATTGGGGCAGAGGGAGACTTTCTGTTTTGCGATCAGAACCCTTCCAGGGGCCCTCCGGACATCTCCGAGCAGGTTTTGGCCTTGGCCCACTGAACCTCTCCTACACTCTGGCATAAGAAATCTGGGTTTTAGCCAAGTCTGAATTTCCAGAGAAAATACATGATACTGGAATGGTAGTGGCTAGAGCTAGTCAGGAGTAGATGGATGGCTGGGGGCCAGGCCTGGTCCAGGCTAAGACAGCTGGATAGCTCATCAATCTTTGTCCAAGCTGCCACACTCCCACCATACCCTCTGCTTTCTAAAGACAAACGTGCTTTCAGAAGTACAAGTTTTGCTGTTGGGTAAATTGGATCAATTTTGAATAGATCAATTGAAAAAGATTCTCTTTTCACTCAATCCTAGGAAAAGGCAGGATTTGCTTCTACTCTGCAAAAGCAGCCAACCTTTTTCAAAAACTCAGAGAATTCCAGTTTTTTACCAATGAAAAATGAAAACCCAAGGTTAAATGAGGTAGTATTTTTGTTTTTGACTCTTTGTCACACAGATTCTCTAACCTCTCGAATTAGCACCTCTCTCCCACAATGTGACAAATGTAATAGCCATTTACGTTACCCTAACCTGACAGTGCCACTGGGAGCAAGAAAACATTAAAACTGGGGGAGACATTGACACTGCTTTGGATTAGACATGACTGAAGTCTGGAATCAAATATTGGTGATTTGTGATTTTACACCAAGAACATAAGAACAGGCTGCCTTACTTACCATCCATTCATCCCTCTACTCACCCATCTACTCAATCAGCAAATGTTATTTTAAAATAAATCAATGAATTTTATTGGGCACCTACTACATGCCAGTCCCTTTACTGGATGCTGTGAATGCAACCTTGAACAAAATACTATCCCTGCCTCGGGGACTTCAGAATCTGGTGGAGATTTCAGCAAGTAAGTAGGAAATTGTATCACAGAGTAGGATGCAGTGGCAACACAGAGGAGAGACACTCAGCCAATGTTTAGTACTTTATAGTTTTATGGCTATAAAATCTTTGATTTTTTTTCTTTTTTTTTTTTTTGAGATGGAGTCTTACTCTGTTACCCAGGCTGGAGTGCAGAGGCAATCTCAGCTCACTGCAACTTCCACCTCTTGGGTTCAAGTGATTCTCGGGTCTCAGCCTCTGGAGTAGCTGGGATTACAGGTGCCCACCACCATGCTCGGCTAATTTTTGTATTTTTAGTAGAGACAGGGTTTCGACATGTTGCCCAGGCTGGTCTCAAACTGCTAAACTCAAGTAATCCACCCACTTTGGCCTCCCAAAGTGCTGGGATTACAGGCATGAGCTACCATGCCCAGTCAAAATCATTGATTTTTTTGTGTAAAAAAATAGGCTGTCCGGCCATGGTGGCTCACACCTGAAAGCCCAACACTTTGTGTGTTTTCTTTTTTGTTTCTTTTTTTGAGACAGAGTCTCATTCTGTCACGCAGGCTTGAGTTCAGTGGCGCGATCTCAGCTCACTACAACCTCCACTTCCCGGGTTCAAGTGATTCTCCCGCCTCAGCCTCCCGAGTAGCTGGGATTACAGGCACATGCCACCTTGCCTGGCTAATTTTTTATTTTTAGTACAGACGGGGTTTCACCATGTTGGCCAGGCTGGTTTTGAACTTCTGATCTCAGGTGATCCGCCTGCCTCAGCCTCCCAAAGTGCTGGGATTACAGGTGTGAGCCACTACGCCTGGCCAAACCCAACACTTTGGAAAGCCGAGGCAGGAGGATCACTGGAGCCCAGGAGTTCAAGACCAGCCTGCACAACATAGTGAAACCTCATCTCTACAAAAAATAAACAAAAATTAGCTGGGCATAGTGGTGCACATAGTCCCACCTATCTGAGACACTGAGGTGGGCAGATCACATGAGACCAGAGTTGGAGGCTGCAGTGAGCCATGATCATACCACTGTACTCCAGCCTGGGTGGCCAGGCACGGTGGCTCACATCTGTAATCCCAGCACTTTGGAAGGCTGAGAGAGGAGGACTGCTTGAGTCCAGAAGTTTGAGACTAGCTCTGGCAACATAGCAAGACCCCATCTCTACAAAAATTTTTTTTAAAAATTAGCTAGGCATGGCTGGGCACGGTGGCTCATACCGGTAATCTCAGCACTTTGGGAGGACAAGATGGGTGGATCACATGAGACCAGGAGTTCAAGACCAGCCTGGCCAACATGGTGAAACCCCACCTCTACTAAAAATGCAAAATTAGCTGGGCATGGTGGTGTATGCCTGTAGTGGCAGCTACTCAGGAAGCTGAGTCACAGTAATTGCTTGAACCTAGGAGGCAGAGGTTGCAGTGAGCTGAGATTGCGCCCAGCTTGGGTGACAGAGCAAGACTCTGTCTTAGAAAAAAAAAAAAGAAGAAAAAAAATGAGCTGTGCATGGTGGCGCATGCTTATAGTCTTAGCTACTTGGGAGGCTGAGGTAGGAGGATTGCTTGAGCCCGAGAGGTCAAGGCTACAGTGAGCTGTGATCCTACCACTGCACCCCAGCCTGGGCGACAGAGCAAGACCTTGCTAAAAATTAAAAAAAAAAAAAAAAAAGGTGGGAGGTGGGTTTTGAGGTCAGGTACGGTAGCTCACACCTGTAATCCCAGCACTTTGGGAGGCAAAGGTGGGAGGATCACTTCAGGCCAGGAGGTCAAGACCAGCCTGAGCAACATAGCAAGATCCTATCTCTACAAAAAACTTTAAAACTTAGCTGGATGTGGGCTGGGCACAGTGGCTCATGCCTGCAATCCCAACACTTTGGGAGGCTGAGGCAGGCGGATCACGAGGTCAGGAGATTGAGACCATCCTAGCTAACACAGTGAAACCCCGTGTCTACTAAAAATACAAAAAATTAGCTGGGCGTGGTGGTGCATCGCTGTAGTCCCAGCTACTCGGGAGGCTGAGGCAGGACAATCACTTGAACCTGGGAGGCAGAGGTTGCAGTGAGCCGAGATCACGCCACTGCACTCCAGCCTGGGCAATAGAGCGAAACCCCGTCTTAAAAAAAAAAAAAAACTTAGCTGGATGTGGTAGCCTGCCCCTGTAGTCCTAGCTACTTGGGAGGCTGAGGTGGGAGAATCACTTGAGTCCAGGAGTTTAAGGTTACAGTGAGCTGTGATCCTGCCACTGCACTCCACCCTAGATGACATAGTGAGACTTTGTCCCAAAAAAATAAAAAAACAGTTTTGGTACAATAGTTAGTAGCTGATTCTTAGGGGATAGGGTGCAAAATGGGCCCTCCTCATGTGAAACACTACCCTATGGTTAACAGTGCTGCCCAGGCACGGTGACTCACGCCTGTAATCCCAGCACTTTGGGAGGCTGAAGTGGGTGGATCACCTGAGGTCAGGGGTTCAAGACCAGCCCAGCCAACATGGTGAAACCCTGTCTCCACTAAAAATATAAAAATTAGCCAGGCGTGGTGGCAGGCGCCTGTAATTCCAGCTACTGGGGAGTCTGAGGCAGGAGAATCGCTTGAACTCAAGAGGTGGAGGTTGCCGTGAGCCAAGATTGCGCCATTGCAACCAGCCTGGGCGACAAGAGTGATACTGTCTCAGAAAAAAAGAGTACTATAGGCTGGGCACGGTGGCTCATGCCTGTAATTCCAGCACTTTGGGAGGCCGAGGCGGGCGGATCACCTGAGGTCGGGAGTTCAAGACCAGCCTGACCAACATGGAAAAACCCTGTCTCTACTAAAAAGACAAAATTAGCAGGGCATGGTGGCGCATGCCTGTAATCCCAGCTACTTGGGAGGCTGAGGCAGGAGAATCGCTTGAACCCGGGAGGCAGAGGTTGCAGTGAGCCAAGATTGCGCCATTGCACTCCAGCCTGGGCAACAAGAGTGAAACTCCGTCTTAAAAAAAAAAAAAAAAGAATACTATAATGAGGCCTCACTGTGTAATACTGGGGAATCCCCACAGAGCACAGCTGGTGGCAAGAGCATACATACATTTTGAAGTCTGCCTTGAGTTCAAATTTCAGCCCCACTATTTAATATTCTGTGAGTCATCTGACCACCCTGGGGTTACTAAGTTTCTGCATCTGAAATACTGAGGTAATAATATCTACATCCTAAAGTTGTGTGAATTAGTGTGAAAGGGTAAAGCACCTGGCATATCGTAGGTACTCAGTAAATTAGTCACTTTTCCTCCTTTGAATTGTTTTTCCTTCTTTGAATTATGTTTTGCCTGTCCTTTTATGTGGGAATATCACAATGAATCAACATGTATGAATAAGAAACAAATGAATAATGTATATTCACTGTAATCACACTTGCTCAAGTGGAAAATTTAGTGAGGATATGTTCATTTATTTTAGACAAATTTAAATAGAAGAGACAAAGACACCCCCCTGGACCCATCAATGGCCACCCTGATTCTGCCTAAGAATAAAGGGAGAATGCAGGTACTTCACCTAATATACTGTATATACTTATATGCCAGTGATTAATTTTAATTAGTTCTCAAATGTATTATGTGATTTGGAGGGCGGTGATGCACAGTCCAGTTTTACCTTCTCGGATTCGTTCTGCGCAGGTGAACATCTAAGGCATTTTGCACCCTCAGGCTACAGTTACCACTGACCATTCAGTACCAAGTTTTGTGAATTGTTTGCTTTTTTAAAAGAGTAAGTTTTAGGCCGGGCACAGTGGCTCATGCCTGTAATCCCAGCACTTTGGGAGGCCAAGGCAGGCAGATGATTTGAGGTCAGGAGTTCAAGACCAGCCTGGCCAACATGGTGAAACCCCATCTCTATTAAAAAATACAAAAATTAGTTGGGCATGGTGGTGTGTGCCTGTAATCCCAGCTACTGGAGAGGCTGAGGCAGGAGAATCGCTTGAACCCGGGAGGCAGAGGTTGCAGTGAGCTGAGATCGTGCCATTGCACTCCAGCCTGGGTGACAGAGTGCGACTCCGTCTAAAAAAAAAAAAAAAAGTGAACGAGTAAGTTTGGTCAGGTGCAGTGGCTCACACCTGTAATCCAAGCACTTTAGGAGGCTGAGGCGAGTGGATCACCTGAGGTTAGGAGTTCCAGTTCAAGACCAGCCTGGCCAACATGGCCAAACCCTGTCTCAACTAAAAATATAAAAATTAGCTGGGTGTAGTGGTGCATGCTTATAACCCCAGCTACTCGGGAGGCTGAGGCAGGAGAATCACTTGAACCCAGGAGGCAGAGTTTGCAGTGAACCAAGATTGCACCACGGCACTCCAGCCTGGGTGACAGAGTGAGACTCTTTCTCAAAATAAATAAATAAATAAAATATAAAAACTTTAAAAAAAGAGTAAGTTTGAATGAATTCATATTTATCCCTATAATAACATTCATCATGCTCATTTGCACTCACATGTTTTTTCCTGAAAGGGAGGAAAAAAGAGGTGGTGAGGCCAGGCGCGGTGGCTTATGCCTGTAATCCCAGCACTTTGGGAGGCCGAGGTGGGCGGATAACCTGAGGTCAGGAGTTCGAGACCAGCCTGGCCAACATGGTGAAACCCTGTCTCTACTAAAAACCAAAAAATTAGCCAGGTGTGGTGGCACACGCCTGTAGTCCCAGCTACTTGGAAGGCTGAGGCAGGAGGATCACTTGAACCCGGAGGTGGAGGTTGCAGTGAGCAGAGATCGCACCACTGCAGCCTGGGCGACAGAGTGAGACTCTGTCTCCAAAAAAAAAAAAGGTGGCAAAACAGCTAGTAAGCTGTTGTTTCTAATAGCCCAGGGAATGTGTACAGGAGGGTGTTGTTCACATGAGTCTGGGTAAAACACAGGTTGAGAATCAGTGGATTATGTTAGGTGTACTAGATATAGAGTAGATGGTTCTCCCAATGGATGGAGTCCCTGCTGTCTTCCCAAGTCTGTTGCTTGGGAATTCTTGCACTGATGCTCTCATTTACCTATCAGTGTCTTCTAGTGTCTACTATGTGCAAGGCCCTTAAAAGACATGAAGACAAGATCCTCTAGGAGTGACAAGACTGATAGTCCAATCACCATATTATGACAGAAAATGAAGAGCGGCGAAAAGATAGGCTTAAATAAAGTCAAATTAAAGAGAGTTTCAGTCCTGACAGACTAATCAAGAATGAGCTTGTCCTCTTTCTTCACTTAGCATTCATTGCTGGAAGGCTATGAGTAGCAAAAACCATATCCCAGAACTGAAACATACTAATTAGGTTGTAACATATAACCATGAATTCAGTTAAATCCAGTGTAGTGGATGAATGTTATCCAAACCTTTATCTTTAGTTCATTTTCTTAAAAAAAAATTTTTTTTTTTGAGACAGGGTCTTGCTCTGTCGCCCAGGCTGGAGTGCAGTGGCATGATCTTGGCTCACTGCAACCTCTGCCTGCCAGGCTCAAGCGATTATCCCACCTCATATTTTCTTAAAATTTATAGTGTGATACTTGTGTAACAGAGATGTGGGTATTTAATTTCTATAACATGTCAGATAAACATAATTGAAAAAAATGAGGCAATCTGCCACCTTGACAGATTGTTTTTCTATTTTTTTGTGTAATGTTTCTAGACAGCTTATAAAATGCAGTCCTTCTGCTTTTGGGGGCAATTAAAATGTTGCCCATGTTGGCCGGCGTGGTGGCTCACGCCTGTAATCCCAGCACTTTGGGAGGCCAAGGCAGGAGGATCACTTGAGGTCAGGAGTTTGAGACCAGCCTGGGCAAAATGGCGAAACCCCATCTCTACTAAAAATACAAAAAAATTAGCTGGGTGTGGTGGTGCACGCCTGTAGTCCCAGCTCCTCGGGAGGCTGAGGCAGGAGAATTGCTTGAGCCCAGAAGGCAGAGGTTGCAGTGAGCTGAGATTGTGCCATTGCACTCCAGCCAGAGCAACAGAGCAAGACTCCATCTCAAAAAAAAAAAAAAATGTGTCTCATGTTGACCTTGATTTGGCTAAGGGACCAGGACAAATGCTCAATTCACCTCTGTTCTGTAACATTGTCAACTACTTTTATATTTGGGGAAGAAATGCAAATATTTCTCACCAGCTCCTTGTAAAGCCAACCCCAACCCTAACTACATATTTGGAAATGGCAAAATAAACTGAATTCAACTTTTTAAAATCTTATTTGCACAGAATAAGAAGCCAGGCTTTACAGTATCATGCTCTCCAAAGAGAACCATAAACTCCAGCCAAGAGCCAGCTCCAGGTATGAAGCCAAACTGGCCTAGGAGCAGATATCCTGCCACAAAGAGAGGCTGTGCTGCCATGGCGGCATACCCATCCTTGCACATATACACATACCCGTAGGTGAGCCTGGGCTGTGCCACACAAGCACTTCATCGGGGGTTTTGAGATTAGACACATTTTATAATGGGGGAGATGTATGACTGGGAACTGCATTTACTTGTGGTATACTGTGTTGTGCACTCATGCACTGACCTTACACTTTGTACTTACACTGTGGGCATGTGGTCAAGATGCATACCTCATGAATTCAACTATTTTTTCATAAAATGAAATTTTATTATGATGTGTAAAAATGCTTTATCAGAAACTGAAGTGTGTTCTCATGGCACACTTCATGGCAGCACAGATATACCTCATTTTAACCAATAGATATTCTCTCTAAAATTATGTGCAAATCAATTTTTAAAAATCAAAATCTATGTTAAACACATTTTGGCAGTGTGCTATAATAAAAAAAAGTGTTGTGTCAAAGCTTTCTAGTGACGGTCAGTCCTACTGCTGTATGTCAGGTTTGCTCACAATGAGGTATTCCCACATAGAAATAACAATGCATGTATTACCCAGAATTTAATGTTGCGTACCTTATGTTCAATGAGGTTTTGTAATTTTTTTAGGCTGATGATTAAAATTCTTTCTCTCTAACCAGTTGTTTCCTTTGATTGGTTAACTGCATAATTTTATGTGAACAGATATTTTTTATCCGCCTTTTCTTTCCAATAGCCTCTCCTGAGCACCAAGCAAAGTCGGCCAGCTGCAGCCTGTCATGTCAACACGCTGGAGTCATTTACAGGGGTGGTCACTCCAGCTCATGCTAGGAGCCCTATTTTGACTACTTTTTTTCTATCACATGGGATTGAAAGTTTTCTAGCACATTTTTCATTATCACTTTTAAACTTTCAGCCACCATCACTACCTGGATTACTAGTGATTAGAACCACATGACAACACAAATTTTATTGCAATCCTAGTGTAGGAGTATTTTAAAAATATTTTAGAACAGTTTTAGATTTACAGACAAATTGAGCAGAGAGTACAGAGAGGTCCTAGGTGCAGCTACCCTCAATCTGTGAGTCTTTTTAAGGGCAATATCAGCCCATACTTTTTTTTTTTTTTTGAGATGGAGTCTTGCTCTGTCACCCAGGTTGGAGTGCAGTGGGGCAATCTTGGCTCACTGCAACCTTCGCCTCCCTGGTTCAAGCAATTCTCCTGCCTCAGCCTCCTGAGTAGCTGGGATTACAGGCGCCACCACCACACCTGGCTAATTTTTGTATTTTTAGTACAGACTGAGTTTCACCATGTTGGCCAGGCTGATCTCGAACTCCTGACCTCGTGATCCTCCCACCTTGGCCTCCCAAAGTGCTGGGATTACAGGCATGAGCCACCATGCCTGGCCCCCATACTCTTTATATAGGGAGTTTGCAAATGGCCTTCTCCTATGCCGCACCTTACATACATCCTAAAACTATTAGCATTTTAAGTATCTAGAAAGCACCCAGCCAAAACCCCACTTTTTATCCCTAAAAGGATATCCTTAAAGGACAAGTCCCAAAAGCAAACCTTGTTTGAAAGTTGTTCAGAAATTCAGCCGGCAGCCTTTGGGAGGCCAAGGCGGGTGGATCAGTTGAGGCCAGGAGTTCGAAACCAGCCTGGCCAACATGGTGAAACCCTGTCTCTACTAAAAATACAAAAATCAGCAGTGTGTGGTGGTGTGTGCCTGTAATCCCAGCTACTCTGGAGGCTGAGGCAGGAGAATAGCTTGAACCCAGGAGGCAGAGGGTGCAGTGAGCCACCTGGCCTATGAACATGGTTTCTTTCGAAGCCTTACTCTTTGGACCACAGGGCCTAATGAAGGTCCTATCACCATCTGGTGGCAGCATATCTTTGTTTTTGGAGAGAGGACAACATCTCTTGAAAGTGAGATAGGCCAGGCATGGTGGTTCATGCCTGTAATCCCAGCACTTTGGGAGGCTGAGGCAAGTGGATCCATTGAGCCCAGCAGTACGAGACCAGTCTTGGCAACGTGGTGAAACCCTGTCTCTAGCAAAAAAATACAAAAATAGCCGGGTGTGGTGGCACATGCCTGTAGTCCCAACTACCCTGGAGGCTGGGGTGGGAGGATCACTTTAGCCCAGGAGGTGGAGGTTGCAGTGAACTGAGATCATGCCACTGTACTCCAGCCTGGGTGAGAGTGAGACTCTGTCTTTAAAAAAAAAAAAAGACTGGGTCATGCCTGTAATCCCAGTACTTTGGGCTGAGGCAGGTGGATCACGAGGTCAGGAGTTCAAGACCAGCCTGGCCAAGATGGTGAAACCCTGTCTGTACAAAAAATGCAAAAATTAGCCAGGTGTGGTGGCAGGGGCCTGTAATCCCAGCTACTCAGGAGGCTGAGGCAGAGAATTGCTTGAACCCGAGAGGTGGAGGTTGCAGTGAGCCGAGATTGTGCCACTGCACTCCAGCCTGGGCAACAGAGCGAGAGTCCTTCTCAAAAAAAAAAAAAAAAAAAAAAAAAAAGGTGCATTGAGCAGTGATTTACTTAGGAACTATGGAGAACTGCCCCTGTGTTTAAAACCTAGATGGAGAACAAAGACTAGTAGGCAAAACAAAGCAGTCAGATGTTTTGCTAGGTTCAGAACATTGTAGTGAGTTAAAGAGCCACCAATGTGGCATTTAGAACACCTGAGTTTGAATCCCACAGAGGCTGGGGGCAAGTAGGCATGGGGCAGTTGCTTAATAGCTCTGCACTTTTACTACCCGACCTTAAAAGTGAAAGGTGAAATGATCTCTAAGGTCCCTTCATTTGACCACTACTCTTAGCTGTTGATCATACATTGCAATAATGTGCTTTAAACAGTTTCCCTCTTCAGCCTGAGCTAGCTAGGTCTTCTCTCCCTCAATCTCTGGTCTTTGGGGAAACAAGACCTCTTTGGTTGCTCTGAGTACAGTTCTTCTCATCTTGTCGCTAACCAATTTTGATACATGCTGGCCGGGTGCGGTGGCTCATGCCTGTAATCCTAGCACTTTGGGAGGCCGAGGCGGGCGGATCACCTGAGGTTGCGAGTTTGAGACCAGCCTGACCAACATGGAGAAACCCCGTCTCTACTAAAAATACAAAAAATTAGCATGGTGGCACATGCCTGTAATCCCAGCTACTCGGGAGGCTGAGGCAGGAGAATCGCTTGAACCCAGGAGGCGGAGGTTTTGGTGAGCCGAAATCACGCCATTGCACTCCAGCCTGAGCAACAAGAGCGAAACACGGTCTCAAGAAAAATAAAATAAAATAAAATAAAATAAAGATAGATGCCATCTCTCCTCATAGCCCCCTGAACTGCTATTCCTAGATTATTGGATTTAGTGACCAGAAATCACATGAATAAACCCCTTCACAGCTCCAGTCATTCCCCTTTCTCTTGGCTTCATTTCTTCCCCAATTCAGCCCAGACTCCAGGGTTCGTGACATCAACCATTCTCTTGCCAGCACCCCAGTGTCCTCACACTCTGTCCTTCTGCCACATCCACCTGGTAGTTCCCCAACTTTGGATCAGCCAGTCATCTCAGCCATCTGTCTTCTCTACTGTACCCAGGCTGCCAAGATGGCTTCGGGAAAATATGCCATCAAGTGGTCCTGGGCCAGCACACAAGTATCTCCTTCAGCCTTGGAAATTTATCTTCTGCTTCTGAAACTGAAGTTCCCGCACCTTTCCCCCTCCGTGGCTATTTCACACCTCCATTTCAAGTCTCTTGCTCCCTCTCTGCTGCCACCTTCCTCCGAGCAAACAGCCATACTAGTCAAGACTGGTTCAGAAGCTAGGCTCCCGTGAGGCAGGGGTAGGAAGATAACTTCAAACAAATTCTGAAGTCTCTTTGGTAGGTTTGTTTATGTAATGGCATTGGCAAATCAATTCTGAAACATTTTAGACATATTATATGCTTGAACAAATGAATAAATGTGTTGATGTTGTTGAAAGCCAAGAACTCATTATTTCTTTCCTTTTTTTTTTTTTTTTTGAGACGGAGTTTTGCTCTTGTTGCCCAGGCTGGAGTGGAGTGGCACAATCTCGGCTCACTGCAACCTCCACCTCCTGGGTTCCAGTGATTCTCCTGCTTCAGCCTCCCAAGTAGCTGGGATTACAGGTGCCCACCACCACACCCAGCTAATTTTTTTTTTTTTTTTGTATTTTTAGTAGAGACGGGGTTTCATCATGTTGGCCAGGCTGGTCTTGAACTCCTGACCTCAGAACTCCACCTGCTTCAGCCTCCCAAAGTGCTGGGATTATGGGCATGAGCCACTGCACCTGGCCAGAACTCATGATTTCTAAAACATGTATATGTCTGAACATACACATGTATGTATACACAAGTATGTATGTGCATGTGTGTATGCATATTCATATATGTAGATAATGTGTGTATGTGTATTCAGCTGTATCTGCTAAAAAGGGCTAAAATCAAATACATCCCATTAGCAATAAGAACATTTTGCACTGAGATCTTGGTCTCTAATACATTCCTCACTAAAAGGAATCAGGGTTCATTAGAGAAATGTCTGGGGCAATGTGGATATGAGATGAGGAGCCTGAAATGTTGTGTTATGTCAAAAAGTAAAAAAGTGCTGGGGGCATGTCACAGGATAAAGGAACCAACTTTAAGGAGCTCCCACTGGCCAAATCTGGGATATTAGGGCACCAAAATGATTAAGGACATTAATAAACTATAACCCATTGAAAAAATAGGAATCATGAGTTCATATCAATGAGAGAGAAAGAGAGGAAGAGCGCTCTTGTTTAAGAAGAATGAAGCTGAGGTCGATGGTGAATGTAGAAGTAGTGCTGCAATTGGGAATTCATTATTTTGCAATTATTGTAGTAAAATGGATCAGGCAAGAAGTACCTATGGATGCAAAATTTAGGAGGAAACTTGAGGAGCAAGATAATTGCATGGTTTTAAAGTGTCTCCACTCAGATTGCTTATTAGTTGGAAGGGAAAAAGTAGTGACTGTATAATAGGGCAATTGGACACCACCTTAACAGTGTGATTGTTTAGGGACAGATGGACATTCTGTGCCCTCTGATGGAAAGCCTGAGACGAACACATCACTTAAGTAGTATTCTGGTTGGAAATGCATATCTTGAATCTAATCATGAAAAAACATCAGATAAAACAAAAATAAGGAACATTCTGCCAAAAAGAATCTAGACTCTGGCATCAGGATGCCTGGGCTCAAAGGCTGACTCCATAGCTTTATGACCTTAGGCTTTATGACCTCTCAAAGATTCAATTTCCTCATCTGTAAAATGGGAACACAAACAAGACACACTTTTCAGAATTGTTGGGAGGACCGGACAAGAAAATGTATATAATGCACTTAGTAGAGTGCTCTACACACAGAAAACACTCGGGAGTGGTGAGCTGGCATCACTCTTGTCCACCCTTACTTCTGTTCCGTTCCTTTGTTCTATTTTTTTGAGACAGTCTTGTTCTGTCACCAAGGCTGGAGTGCAATGGCACCATCTCCGCTCATTGCATCTTCTGCCTCCGAGGTTCAAGTGATCCTTATGCCTCAGCCTCCCAAGTAGCGGGATTACAGCCACGTGCCACCATGCCTGGCTAATTTTTATATTTTTAGTAGAGACAGGGTTTCACCATGTTGGCCAGTCTGATCTTGAACTCCTGACCTCAAGTGATCTGCCTACCTCAGCCTCCCAAAGTGCTGGGATTACAGGTGTGAGCCACCATGCCCGCCCTCTTTCCTTTGTTCTTAGAGAAAAAAAAGTGCCCAACTTTGGGTTTAAGGCTAATCTCTCCACCTTATGCTTCAATTCAGTCTCTCTATTTTCCCAAACTTTCTGCATTGCTTTACCCCCTCTTGTCTTTCTCCTTCCCTACCAGCAACTTCGCTGTGGCCTCAAAACATGCCAGGCTTCTTCCATATTTAAAGAAAGAACATGCAGGCCAGGCACCGTGGCTCACACCTGTAATCCCAGCACTTTGGGAGACCGAGGTGGGTGTATCGCCTGAGATCAGGAGTTCGAGACCAGCCTGGCCAACATGGTGAAACCCGTCTTTACTAAAAATACAAAAATTAGCTGGGTGTAGTGACAGGTGCCTGTAATCCCAGCTACTCAGGAGGCTGAGGCAGGAGAATCGCTTGAACCAGGGAGGTGGAGGTTGCAGCGAGCCGAGATCACACCATTGCACTCCAGCCTGGGCGACAAGAGCAAGACTTCATCTCAAAAAAGAAAAAAAAGAAAAAAAAAAAAAGAACATGCCTTCTGATCAGTTGTGAATAAATAAATATAAAGAAAGTGCAGGCCGAGCACAGTGGCTCACACCTGTAATCCCAGCACTTTGGGAGGCCAAGGCAGGCGGATCAAGAGGTTAGGAGTTCGAGATCAGCCTGGCCAACATGGTGAAACCCCCGTCTCTACTAAAAATACAAAAATTAGCTGGGCATGGTGGCAGGAGGTGGAAAGTGCAGTGAGCCGAGATCACACCACTGCACTCCAGCCTGGGCAACAGAGCGAGACTCCATCTCAAAATAAATAAATAAATAAATAAATAACTTGAGACTGGGTAGTTTATAAAGAAAAGAGGTTTGAGCCGGGCACAGTGGCTCACGCCTGTAATACCAGCACTTTGGGACGCCAAGGCAGGCAGATCACCTGAGGTCGGGAGTTCAAAACCAGCCTGACCAACATGGAGAAACCCCATCTCTACTAAAAATACAAAAATTAGCCAGGCATGGTGGTGCGCACCTGTAATCCCAGCTACTTCGGAGGTTGAGGCAGGAGAATCACTTTAATCCAGGATGCAGAAGTTGCAGTGAGCCAAGATCGAGCCATTGCACTCCAGCCTGGGTGACAGAGTAAGACTCTGTCTCAAAAAAATAAAGTGTCTTCCTAAATTCTGCAAACCGTTCTAGTGTTGACAAAAAGAGCCAAACTTTATGTAATATTTGAAGAGATTTATTCTGAGCCATATATGAGGACCATGACCCATGACACAGCCTCAGGAGGTCCTTATGTGGTTCACAGCCACATGTGCCCAAGGTGGTTGCATTACAGCTTGATATTAGGGGGACAGAAGTTATAGGCAGACATCAATCAATACATATGGGGTGCCGGCTCAGTGGCTCATGCCTGTAATTCCAGCATTTTGGGAAGCCAAGACGGGAGGATTGCTTAAGGCCAGGAGTGTGAGACCAGCCAGCCCAACATGGCCAAACCCTGTCTCTACTAAAATGCAAACAATCAGCTGGGCATGGTGACACGTGCCTGTAGTCCCAGCTACTTGGGAGGTTGAGGAAGGAGAATCACTTGAACCCGGGAGGTGAAAGCTGCAGTGAGCCAAGATCACACCACTGCACTCTGCGTGGGCAACAGAACAAGACTCTGTCTCAACAACAACAACAACAACAAAATGTGGGGTATACATTGGTCCAGAAAAGCAGGACAACTCAAACTGGGGAGAGGGAAGTGCTTCCAGGTCATAGGTGGATTCAGAGATTTTCTGATTGGCAATTGGTTGAAAGAGTTATTATATAGACAGATCTGGAATAAAAGTTTTTATTATGTAGATAAATTGTATGTAGTTTTATTATGTAGATGAAGTCTCATAGGTGGCCACCCTTAGAGGCAATAGGTGGCAAATGTTTCCCATTCAGACTTTTAAAAGGTGCTAGATAGGCGGGGCATGGTGGCTCATGCCTGTAATCCCAGCACTTTGGGAGGCCGAGGCAGGCGGATCATGAGGTCAGGAGTTTGAGACAAGCCTGTCCAACATGGTGAAACCCCATCTCTACTAAGGGAGGAGAATCGCTTGAACTGGGGAGGTGGAGGTTGTGGTGAGCTGAGATGGTGCCATTGCACTCCAGCCTGGGCAACAAGAGTGAAACTCTATCTCAAAAAAAAAAAAAAAAAAGAGGTTTAATTGGCTCAGCTCTGTAGGCTTTACAGGAAGTATGATGCTGGCATCTGCTCAACTTCTAGGGAGGCCTCAGGGAGCTTACAATCATGTAGGAAGGCGAAGGAGGAACATCACATAGCAAAAGCAGGATTGAGAGAGAGAGAGGGAGGGGGAGGTGCCACATAATTTTAAATGACTAGCTCTCATGAGGACTCAATTATCACGAAGACAGCACCAAGCCATGAGGGATCCGCCCCCATGATCCAAACACCTCCCGCCAGGCTGCACCTCCAGCATCCATGGTCATAATTCAACATGACATTTGCACAGGGATAAATGTCCAAACTATATCAGGGGTTTTATTTTTAGTTTACACTAGCAAATTATCAAACCTTAGGAGAGGACTGTGGAAACCCTGATTTATAACCAGTTGGGCATAAAGGTCTTTATAAAAGGGAGGCAGGAGGATCAGACTCAGAAAAAGGACATGTGAATGATCCAGGATTTATGCTCCTTAGTTCAGCTAAATCTGGGTTCTTGTCTCATGACCAGGAAAAATTAGGCATGTGGCCACATTGAAGAATAGAATAGAATTTATTAAACGAAGGGAAAGCTTTCAGCAAGGAGAGGGGTCCTACAAAACAGTTTCCACTTCACAACTGAATACAAGGGCTCCCACACATGAGCTGAAGAGGCAAGGCTCCTCTCCAGCATACAGCATGAAATCCTAGTAGCTCCACCCTGATCCCCCCAGTGCGCATTCGGGCATGCCCACACAAGCCATGGGTAGTATCAGAAAGGCAACATTCAATTGGTTGAAAGGCATTATTCAGAGACAATCAATAGGGAAAGGGCGAACAAACAAGGGCAGAAGATCTCCCTGTGGGTTGCAGGTTTCATCTGGAACAAGCAGTCCGGTCTTTTAGCCTTCAGGCTGTTTTAGGCTTGAAGGTGGGGTTTTCACCAGGGACCCTTCCCTATCTGCCCAGGCATTTGTCTGCCTCCTGCCTCTATCATGAAGACAGAAGAGGTTGAACTGATGCCCTTTGAAGTTGGAGGAAGTGGCCAGAAGGCAAGGAATGCAGATGGCCTCTGGAAGCTTGAAAAGGGAAAGACACAGTTTCTCCTCTGGAAACTGCAGAAGGAATAGCGCCTTGGCAACACCTTGATTTTAACCCTTTAAGACTCATTTCAGGCCAGGCATGGAAGCTTATGCTGGTAATCCCAGACTTTGGGAGGCCAAGTCGGGTGGCTCACCTGAGGTCTGGAGTTCGAGACCAGCCTGGCCAAAATGGCGAAACCCCGTCTGTACTAAAAATACAAAAATCAGCCAGGTGTGGTGGCAGGCCCCTGTAATCACAGCTATTCGGGAGGCTGAGGCAGGAGAATCACTTGAACCCAGGAGGCGGAGGTTGCAGTAAGCCGAGATTGCGCCACTGCACTCCAGACTGGGTGACAGAGCGAAACTCCATCTCAAAAAAAAAAAAAAAAAAAAGACTCATTTCAGGCAGGGTGCAGTGGCTCAGGCCTGTAATCCCAGCACTTTGGGAGGCCGAGGTGGGAGGATTGCCTGAGCCCAGGAGTTCGAGACCAGCCTGGTCAACATGGTGAAACCCTCTCTAGTAAAAATACAACAATTAGCCAGGCATGGTGCTGCACGCCTGTAATCCCAGCTACTCAGGTGGCTGAGGCAGGAGAATTGCTCGAACCCGGGAGGCGGAGGTTGCAGTGAGCTGAGATCATGCCACTGCACTCCAGCCTGGGTGACAGAGTGAGACTCCATCTCAAAAAAAGAAAAAATAAAGACTCATTTCAGATTTCTGACCTCCATAATGGTATGATAATAAATTTGTGTTGTTTTAACCCACTAAGTTTGTGGTAATATTCACAGCAGCGAAAGGAAATTAACAGCACTTAAATATTACAAAAAAATAGACCAGGCACAGTGGCTCACGCCTGTAATCCCAACATTTTGGGAGGCCAAGGTGGGCGGATCACGAGGTCAGGAGGTCAGGAGTTCGAGACCAGCCTGGCCAACATAGTGAAACCATGTTTCTACTAAAAATACAAAAATTAGCTGGGCATGGTGGCACACACCTGTAGTCCCAGCTACTCAGGTGGCTGAGGCAGGAGAATCGCTTGAACCCAGGAGGTGGAGGCTGTGATGAGCCGAGATTGCGCCAGTGCACTCCAGCCTGGGCAACAGAGCAAGACTCCATCTCAAAAAAATATATGTTTTTACAAAAAAAATCAATATGATATTTTGAAAATGAGATCACTGAGGTCCATTCTGGAAACTGGTCAGGGTGTACTAAAGAAATAAACCGCATACTTCATAAGGCCAGGGCATAAAGAAGGGTGGCATCATTTACACCTTTGGCAAAATGAGACTTAAGGTGCCCCAGTGTCGTGTGGGAGATCCTAAGTCTGTGTTGAAAACAATGACTGAGGCTGGGCACTGTGGCTCACGACTGTAATCCCAGCACTTTGGGAGGCCGAGGCAGGCGGATCACCTGAGGTCAGGAGTTCGAGACCAGCCTGACCAACCTGGAGAAACCTCGTCTCTTCTAAAAGTACAAAATTAGCCGGGTGTGGTGGCACACACCTACAATCCCAGCTACTCGGGAGGCTGAGGCAGGAGAATTGCTTGAACCTGGGAGGTTGTGGTGGGCCCAGATCATGCCATTGCACTCCAGCCTGGGCAACAAGAGCAAAACTCTGTCTCAAAAAAACAAAAAAGAAAAAAAGAAAACAAGGACCGATGCCAAGAAGGAGAATAATTTTTGCCTTTCCTCCAGTTCTCAGGATTGGAATCCAAAGACAGCATCCACGACTGTGCTGCCAGGCAACATGTTCTTTGTCATTTTTCAGACTTCTCTAGCGAACAAAGATAGGAAAGTAATGTTGAAAGGCTAGTGGAACCCTAACCAAACCAGAAAAATTTGCTATGCTTGAAAAGGAAAAGGGAAAATACTTTCCAAATATGGCTCCCAAGCTGAGATATTTGAAATAAATCTCTAAAGCACACAGATTTTGTGCAAGAGATGGGCTTCTCATGACACTATGCAGGGGAACTATACTTTTCAAAGGATGTTCTCTCTAAGGAACTGTTTTACATGCAAGATAACAGTTTTATTTTTTATTTTATTTATTGATTGATTTTTGGAGACAGAGTCTCACTCTGTCACCCAGGCTGGAGTGCAGTGACTTGATCTTGGCTCAACGCAACCTCTGCCTCCCGGGTTCAAACGATTCTCCTGCCTCAGCCTCCTGAGTAGCTCAGACTGCAGGTGTGTGCCACCATGCCCAGCTAATTTTTTTGTATTTTAGTAGAGTCAAGGTTTCATTGTGTTGGCCAGGCTGGTCTCAAACTCCTGAGCTCAGGTGATCCTCCCACCTTGGCCTCCCAAAGTGCTAGGATTACATGCATGAGCCACCGCGCCCGGCAAGACAATATAGATACTTCTTAGGAAGCTCGAGAAGGACAGGAGGAAAATGTAAGGCCAGCAAAGAGAGTTTGCCTATCCCTTTAGCTGGGTGACCCTTTTCAGTCATTCTAAGACAAATTGAACTTAAGTTGGTGGAAAGAACCCGAGAACCCCAGCTGTCAGGACTTCCCTTCCTTTCGTAGATATTGTGGTCGGCTCCCTAGCAACCCAGATCCTTAGGCAGGACAGGATTTCTCCACAAGTATAGTACTGATGTCTCCAGATACAGGGGTCAAGGGAAGGCCCCTTTGCCCTCTGAAGTTTTGCTGAAAAATCAACTCAAAAAAGGCAGATTAACTGGAAAAAAAAGGCATAGAAATTTATTGACATTAGCATGGTGTGAATCACAGAGTGATTGTCCACCCCTCTAGGTGGTTCAGAAGTTAATATACCATCCTAGAAAAACAGGTTGTAGGAGGGGGAAGAAGAGGAATTTGCTGTTGTTTTGAGACAGGGTCTTGCTCTGTTGCCCAGGCTGGAGTGCAGTGGCACGATCATGGCTCACTGCAGCGGCACGATCATGGCTCACAGCAGCGGCACGATCATGGCTCACTGCAGCTTCAACCTCCCTGGCAATCTTTCCACCTCAGCCTCCTAAGTCACTGGGACTACAAGCACACACCGACAAGCCCAGTTAATTTTTTCTTCTCCTTCTTTTTTTTTTTTTTTTTTTTTGAGACGGAGTCTTGCTGTTTTGCCCAGGCCGGAGTGCAGTGTCGCAATCTCAGCTCACTGCAAGCTCCGCTTCCCAGTTTCCCAGCATTCTCCTGCCTCAGCCTCCCAAGTTGCTGGGACTACAGGTGCCTACCACCACACCCGGCTAATTTTTTTGTATTTTTAGTAGAGATGGGGTTTCACCGTGTTAGCCAGGATGTTCTCGATCTTCTGACCTTGTGATCCACCCGCCTCGGCCTCCCAAAGTGTTGGGATTACAGGCGTCAGCCACCGCGCCCGGCCTATTTTTTCTATTTTTTTGTAGAGCCAGGTGTCACTATGTTGCCCAGGCTGGTTTTGAACTACTGGACTCAAACAGTCCTCCTGCCTAGGCCTCCTAAAGTGCTGGGATTACAGGCGTGAGCCACTACGCCCGGCCAGGGTAAAGGTTTTTGGAGAGATTATAGGAGGGTGAAAGCCAGGGAGACCTTGAGGCTTTTTCAGTTCAGTATGTCAAAATACCATACATTTTGGGGTATTGGTTTTGGAGCCCTAACACAGACTTTGATAAGTATCCCCTGAGGGCCAAAATTAACCCTGTTGAGAACCACTAGTCTAAGCCAATCATTGGTTTAGGTGGTGGTGGGTGACTCCTGTCCAGTAATTCATGAGAATTCTGCTGGGGAGGTTTCTGAGAAAAGGTTTCTTCCTCCAAAAAGAGCCAATTTGAGAGCCAGGCATGGTGGCTCATGCCTGTAATCCCAGCACTTTGGGAGGTTGAGGCGGGCGGATCATCGAGGTCGGGAGATCGAGACCATCTTGGCTAATACAGTGAAACCCCGTCTCTACTACAAAAAAAAAAATTAGCCAGGCATGGTGGCACATTCCTATAGTCCCAGCTACTTAAGAGGAGGAGGCAGGAGAATCGCTTGAATCTGGGAACAGAGGTTGCAGTGAGCCGAGATCGTGCCATTCCACTCCAGCTTGGGTGACAACGTGAGACTCCGTCTCAAAAAAAAAAAAAAAAAAAAAGAGCCATTTTGTGATGAGCTTTGGTGTGCCAAAAAAGAGAGAACTATTTTTAAAAAGACACCTTCTCGAAGGCTGGACGCGGTGACTCACACCTGTAATCCCAGCACTTTGGAAGGCCAAGGCAGGCAGATCACCTGAGGTTGGGAGTTCGAGACCAGCCTGACCAACATGGCAAAACCCCGTCTCTACTAAAAATAACAAAAATTAGCTGGGCGTGGTGTTGGGCGCCTGTAATCCCAGCGACTCGGGAGGCTGAGGCAACCTCCTTGAACCCGGGAGGCGGAGGTTGCAGTGAGCCAAGATCACACCATTGCACTGCAGCGTGGTCAACAAGAGTGAAACTCTGTCTCAAAAAAACAAAAACAGAAACAAAAACCCTTCTCTCTTCTTCCTCTGACTATCAGTGTTGCATATGAGGCTCAAAACTATTTTGATACCGGCCTAAGGAGGAAGAGCACAGGGATGGAAAGAATCTAGGTATTTGGTAAGACTCTTGTGTCACAGCCTCATCCAACTCAGAAGGCTCCTTGAACTCAGGTCTTCCTATAAGGCAAAATAAATATAATAAATATATGCCGGCTGGGTAAGCTGGTTCATGCCTGTAATCCCAGCACTTTGGGAGGCCGAGGTGGGAGGGTCACTTGAGCACAGAAGTTCAAGACCAGCCTGGACAGCCTTGGACCAGGTTAGGATTAAGACAGGGGCTTGAATTTTGCTAAGATACAGGCCCAGTTAAACGATAGCTAGTCATTATTCTGGCGATCACGAGATATAGGAGTAACTTTCCCAATTACTCCTATAGATAACATCACTATTGTACAACTTAAGATTGGCCTTTTACGACGTTTTTCAATTACTTGAGGTTTTTTGGTCTTTTTATTTTTCTCCTTTTTGTGGAAAATGGGGTCTTGCTGTGTTGCCCAGGCAGGTCTCAAACTATCCTCCCACCTCTGCCTGAAATGCTGGGATTACAGACGTAAACCATCACACCTGGCAGAGATAACATCACTAACATAGAATCTAAGATTGCCTTTTTGAGATGTTTTGGTGGCTACTGACTCCACTCAGACCCACCACTCATGACATCTGGTCCTGTGGCCTCCATCCAGAGGCTGTCAAGGACCGCTTTCTATACCCCTATGATTTCATCCCCAACCAATCAACATTCCCCATTTGAGCCCCCTGCCACCAAAGCATCCTTGAAAAACCCTCACCTCTGAGCCGTCGGGGAGAGTGATTTGAGCGATAACTTAAGTTCTTCCACATGGCCCACACTGTGTTAATTAAACTCTTTCTTTACTGTAATGCCACAGTCTCAGTGAACTGATTTTGTCTGTGCAGCAGGCAGGAAGAACCCACTGG
This sequence comes from Homo sapiens, assembly GCF_000001405.40. Lineage (NCBI taxonomy): Eukaryota > Metazoa > Chordata > Mammalia > Primates > Hominidae > Homo > Homo sapiens. The sequence continues at coordinate 78,161 of NW_019805496.1, read as the reverse complement.
ACAATTACGTGATCTCTCTCCCAAGTCAGACCGCCTCCCAGTCCAGGAGACTTTTTTTTTTTTCTTCAAGACAGGCTCTTACTCTGTCCCCCAGGCTGGAGTGCAGTGGTACAATCTCGGTTCACTGTAACCTCTGCTTCCCAGGCTCGAGCAATCCTCCCACCTCAGCCTCCTAAGAAGGTGAGACTACAGGTGCAAGCCACCATGCTCAATTAATTTTTTTTTCTTTTTTGCAGAGACGGGGTTTCACTATGTTGCCCAGGCTGGTCTCAAACTCCCGAGCTCAAAGCAATCCACCCAAGTGCTGGGATTACAGGCATGTGCCCTGCTCCCAAGAGGCTTTTAACTGGTAAATCCATTCAGCCTTCCCTGGGCTTCATTTTTTTCTGAGATGGAGTTTCACTCTTGTTGCCCAGGCTGGAGTGCAATGGCATGATCTCGGCTCACTGCAACCTCCGCCTCCCGGGTTCAAGCGATTCTCCTGCCTCAGCCTCCCGAGTACCTGGGATTATAGGCATGTGTCACCACGCCCGGCTAATTTTGTTTTTTAGTAGAGATGGGTTATCTCCATGTTGGTCAGGCTGGTCTTGAACTCCTGACCTCAGGTGATCCGCCCACCTCAGCCTCCCAAAGTGCTGGGATTACAGGCGTGAGCCACCGCGCCCGGCTTCTGGGCTTCATTATTGACCTCTTGGAAGCTTTTGACATATTGACTATCCTTTCTTTTTCCAAACTTTTCTGTTGACTTCAGTGACATGCTGTTCTAGTTCTGTTTCCTTCCCAGTTAATTCTGCCCCTTTTGACTTCCGTTATTCCTCTCACCACTGCAATATGGGTCAGCAAATATAACCCATCTTAGGGTCATCATACTGAACTGTATCAGGGAATGCCATTCAGATCATAGTCTTTGTGACTGGCCCCACTCTGAGTTATGCAGTGCACAGCCTAGGCAGCTGTACATAGCACCTCTTCCCTTATCTATACTGCTGACTTCGGTTACCTATTCTCTGCAGATTCTTCCCAAAACCTCATCAGCAGCTTCTGCCTCACACCATTGGAAAATATTGTGGAGCAGACTGAATCCCCCAACCACCCACCCCTGGCAAGAGGCTCTGTGCCTCCCCATGCTCACTAGCATCAGTGGGACAAGGCAATATTATTTGGCACCATCAATGCACAAATCCAAGAATAAATAATCCAACCAGGTGTGGTGACTCACACCTGTAATCCCAGCACTTTGGGAGGCAGGTGGATCACTTGAGTTCAAGAGTTTGAGACCAGCCTGGGGCAACATGGCGAGACCCCATCTCTACTAAAAATACAAAAAAAATAGCTGGGCATGGTGGTGCACACCTGTGGTCCCAGCTAATTGGGAGACTAAGGTAGGAGGATCGCTTGAGCCCAGGAGGTGGAGGTTGCAGTGAGCCGAGATTGCACCACTGCACTCCAGCCTGGGTGACAAAGAGAGACCCTGTCTCAAAAAAAAAAAGAAAAGAATCCCCTGCTAAATAGTCTCTCTGGCTCAGCTTTATGTTTCTAGATTCAGTTAGAAGCAACTTGTTTCTTACAACTTTATTTTTTATTTATTTATTCTTTTGAGACTGAGTCTCGCCCTGTCACCCAGGCTGGAGTGCAATGGCGCAATCTTGGCTCACTGCAACCTCCAACTCCCGAGTTCAAGCGATTCTCCTGCCTCAGCCTCCCGAGTAGCTGGGATTACAGGCACCCGCCATCACACCCAACTAATTTTTGTACTTTTAGTACAGATGGGGTTTCACCATGTCGGTCAGGCTGGTCTTGAACTCCCGACCTCAGGTGATCCACCCACCTCAGCCTTCTAAAGTGTTGGGATTACAGGTGTGAGCCACCGTGCCCAGCCAATATCTGTATTTCAATATAAAGTTTTTTAAAAAAAACCCTTTCCTATGCATAATTTCACTTAATGCTCATAATAACCCTGAGAGATACACAGTAGTGTTAGATTTAGATACAAAAACTGGAAATTAAAGTAGCTAAAATGACAAATGGATGCAGTGGAAAAGCCAGGATCCAAATCCAAGTCTTTCCCCTACAGTACTTCACTCTGCTCCAAGCTCAGATTCACCAAATGTTGTTTGATAGAACACGTGAGCTGGGGCTGAAGGAGCAGGGACAATGCCTTTTTCACTTTTGCCTCTGATAGCCTGTAGACTGGTAGGCACTGAAGTATTTGTTCACTTGTGCAATAAATATTTATTGAGCACCTCGTATGTGCTGGGCACTGAAAACACAACCGTGAACAGAGGCTGTCACGGTTCCTGAACTCATGGAGCTTTCATTCCAGTGGAGGAGACATAATTTCAGTGATAATGCTACGACGGGGCACAATGTGGGAGAAAATAAGAGGGAGGTGGCCAGGCGCGATGGCTCCTCACTCCTGTAATCCCAGCACTTTGGGAGGCCAAGGCGGGTGAATCACGAGGTCAGGAGTTTGAGACCAGCCCGGCCAACATCGTGAAACCCCGTCTCTACTAAATAGACAAAAATTAGCCGGGCGTGGTGGCGTGTGCGTGTAATCCCAGCTACTAGGGAGGCTGAGGCAGGAGCATTGCTTGAACCTGGGAGGCGAAGGTTGCAGTGAGCTGAGATCGGGCCACTGCACTCCAGCCTGGGTGACAGAGCGAGACTCCGTCTCAAAAAAAAAAAAAAAAAGAAAGAAAAAGAAAAGGGGGAGGTAATTTTAGAATGGTCAGAGAAGGTTTTTCTGAAAAGATAACATTAATCAAACGAATAAATGAATGAAAAGCCACTCGCTAGCGGATTCATTATTTGCTATACTTATTTAGAGTTTGTCAGTCACGAGACTGTTACGGCTCTGATGCTGAGTATCTTTTGAATCCTATGTTGATGATGCCCAAAAGGCAAGTGCAGAGATGAAGCATAATGAAGAATCCTTTTCAATTTCTTTTCAGTCCTCTGACCTTGCCTCTGCCGTCACGGTCACACTCCCCCACTGACACTCCCATTCTTCTGTTTCCGGACACTTGCGGCCTGGAAGCGCATGTGCAAGAGAAACCGTCATTCCTGGTGAAGGGCGAGCCCCCGGCAGAACGCATGCGCCTCTGTCCCTTAAGCCCCGCCCCGACCTCAGCGCCCCCTCGCGAGCGCCTGCCGTTTCTCGGGGCGGGACGGGGGGGCGGGGACTGGGCGGAGAGGCGCGTGCTGCTGCGTGCGTGCGCGCGCGCCGCGGGCGGGCCAGTGAAACCGGCGGCCCTGGCACGTGACCTAGGACCGGCTCACCGGGTCGCTTGGTGGCTCCGTCTGTCTGTCCGTCCGCCCGCGGGTGCCATCATGGCGGACGCGGCCAGTCAGGTGCTCCTGGGCTCCGGTCTCACCATCCTGTCCCAGCCGCTCATGTACGTGAAAGTGCTCATCCAGGTATGAGGCGTCGCCGCTCCCTACCCCGCCCGGCGCCCCGTTCGGTCGCTGCTGCTCAGGGCGCCTGAGGATCGGCTCAGCCTTGCGGGCCTTTCATTCTCCCGAGATGCTGCTGCTCCTCCGCTGCCCTTTACCTCCCCGCAGGGACAGCTTCCTCAGTCCCGCGGCCCCGCTTGGGGGCCTCGCCGAGCCCTCGCCTCGCCGCCCAGCGTTGAGGCCCTCTCCTCCCTTAGCCAACCGCCACCCGGCCCTGCCCTGCCCGGCGGATCCTCTGAACTTTGGTTCTTCTTCACTGAGGTGGATCCTGGCCGGTCGCCACCAAAGGCTTCCGAACCCTCCCTCTCGCCCCTCCGAAATTCACATTCACCACTACTCCCCCCAAAATCTCAGACGCAAAACACGAAATACTCAGTTGAAGACAAATGTGAAGTTAGGTGGGAACCAACATTTTATTTTTTATTCCTTTTTTTTTTCTTTTTATGCTACTGTTACTACTGCTTTTCTGTTCCGAGGTTTTCGCACCAGATACTGAGAGAAACACAAGGAGCTCATTCAGAAGTGTTAATGAAGGGGTTGCTCTGTCAGATTTCGGAAGGATGCATTGAGCGCTTTCCAGCAGCGGCCCATGTGGCTCCTGACAATGAAAATCACATTTGTCAGAGCTGGAAATTAGTGAAGCTGAGTTTTAGCGAGTTTAAACATGGGAGTTAGTTTCTAATCTACTGTCAAATAATTATTACATGGTATTTTATATTCACATGCAGGTAGGCCAAGTAAGTGATAGACTTAGTGTTTCCAGTTCCTTTGCTATATCCCTGTAATGGGCAGGTCATTCTTTTTTTTATGCTTTTACTGAGAGTTGACATAATTACCTCATGCACTGTGCCTAGGAATGGAACAGTTTTTAGAACCCCTGTCTCGCCGTCTACTTTTCTGTAAAAAATAGGCAAGACACTAGAGAGGGCCCCATTTCTTATTCTTGAGTTGTTGGGAATCCAGATTATTTCTTGCTGAGTAGACCTGTGTGAATTCAGATTCCATATGTTAAAGGCTATTGCAAATAAATTCTTTGTACTTAGAACAAAGACTGATTAGAATGTACTGTAACATCCAAAACAGAATTGGCACATTTGGGGCTAGATAGCATCGGAGGTGACAGCATGTTGCAGTATATAGTAAGAACCCTTGGGGCCGGGCGCGTTCGCTCACGCCTTCCCAGCACTTTGGGAGGCCGAGGTGAGCGGATCACGAGGTCGATGTTTGAGACCAGTCTGACCAACATGGTGAAACCCCGTCTCTACTAAAAATACAAAATATAGCCAGGTGTGGTGGTGCGTGCACGTAATCCCAGCTAGTCGGGAGGCTGAGGCAGGAGAATCGCTTGAACCCGGGAGGTGAAGGTTGCAGTGAGCCGAGATCGCGCCATTGTACTCCAGCCTGGGCAACAGAGCAAAACTCAGCCTCAAAAAAACAAAACAAAACAAAAAAGAACCCACTACTCAATACTTCTCTGGGAGACGGGGTTTTCTAATGATGTTCAGAGCTCTTGCCCCAAAAACTTTGAATATTCTTAATTCTGATTTCACAACATCTATGTGTTGCCAAGTAGCCCAGGAGTTTTGGTGAAATTCCCAAATGCTCAGTTGTAAAAATAGTTACTTGGGCCGGGCACGGTGGCTCACGCCTGTAAATCCCAACACTTTGGGAGCCTGAAACAGGCGGTTCACCTGAGGTCAGGAGTTAAAGACTAGCCTGGCCAACATGGCAAAACCCCCTCTCTACTAAAAATACAAAAATTGGCTGGGTGTGGTGGTGGGTGCCTGTAATCCCAGCTACTCAGGAGGCTGAGGTACGAGAATGGCTTAAACCTGGGAGATGGAGGTTGCAGTGACCTAGATCGTGCCACTGCACTCCAGCCTGGGCGACAAGAGCGAAACTCTGTCTCCAAAAAATAAATAAGTAACTAAATAAAAATAAAAATGGTTACTTGGTAGCACTTTCAGGGAGCTCAGACAGGAGTTATTTGTTTATTTATTTGTTGTTGTTTTTGAGATGGAGTTTTGCTCTTGTCACCCAGACTGGCATGCAATGGCACAATCTCGGCTCACTGCAACCTCCGCCTCCCAGGTTCAAGCGACTGTCCTGCCTTAGCCTCCTGAGTAGCTGGGATTACAGGTGTCCGCCACCACACCTGGCTAATTTTTGTGTTTTTAGTAGAGACAGGGTTTCACCATGTTGGCCAGGCTGGTCTTGAACTCCTGACCTCAGGTGATCCGCCCACCTTGGCCTCCCAAAGTGCTGGGATTACATGCATGAGCCACCACGCCAGCCCAGGAGTTACTTAATAGGACAGATTAAGAGTCACAACAATAATCAAAACTATGTCCTACAGCATTCATTCTGTCAAGTATCTGTAGTGTTAAAAATCCTGGGTATATTGTACAAAGACCATGGTAATCATTAACTATATAAAATGGACTTCATTAGCTGTTAATGACAGCCTGTGTTTTTTTGTTTGTTCGTTTGTTTGTTTGTTTTTGAGATGGAGTCTCGCTGTTGTCGGCCTCGGCTGGAGTGCAGTGACACAATCTCGGCTCACTGCAACCTCTGCCTCCCGGGTTCAAGTGATTCTCCTGCCTCAGCCTCCCAAGTAGCTGAGATTACAGGCGCCCGCCCCTACGCCCGGCTAATTTTTTAGTTCTAGTAGAGACAGGGTTTCACCATGTTGGCCAGACTGGTCTCGAACTCCTGACCTCAGGTGATCCATCCCCCTCGGTCTCCCAAAGTACTGGGATTACAAGGCATGAGCCACTGCGCCCGACCGACAGCCTGTTCTTCTAACATGAAGTTAGCTTGTAATTCTTTCCTAAGTGAATTATCCAGCTATATCTGCATTTGCCTTTTGAGTGTTTTGTCTGGGTTGCCAAATATGCAGCTGATGCTGGCGTAATGGATGTCTTCTAGTTTTGTTCAAATACAAAATGTGCCTTAGATTTTATTTAGAAGGTATTTTTGAGCCCCCTTAGTAAACTGTAGCTTTCCTAACGCAAAAGTTCCCTTCTTTCAGTTTGATATTAGCCTATTTCAGCTACATGGTTTACGTCATAGAATTTGAACCAAAATGAAACTTGGAGTTTATTGAACTCAGTATTACCAACAGAAGAAAAACCTACAAGAATGATGCTTCATCATTGCCTTGGAAAACCTATGCTGCATTTTTACTTGTGTTTAAAAATAACCCAAATTGTGTTCTTTATTCAAGACCTTGCAAGCAAGACATTTCTGGAAATATTGCTTTAATATTGATATATTCCATTGTTTTTAAAGGTGGGATATGAGCCTCTTCCTCCAACAATAGGACGAAATATTTTTGGGCGGCAAGTGTGTCAGCTTCCTGGTCTCTTTAGTTATGGTAAGTGCCTTTGATTTATTTGGGTTTGCATGACGTTGAGGACTGTGATAGGCAGGAGTTGTTATTGAAAGAAAATATATAGAAAGCTTGTTTCTTTGAAATTGTAGTATATCCATTTCTCTTGACCAGAACTTGACAACATCTCTGACTTGTGTTCTTAGCTCAGCACATTGCCAGTATCGATGGGAGGCGCGGGTTGTTCACAGGCTTAACTCCAAGACTGTGTTCGGGAGTCCTTGGAACTGTGGTCCATGGTAAAGTTTTACAGGTAAGAGGAAAATTAAATCAATCTTCCCATAGATGTTGCTTACCTGTTATGCATAGTTTGTTCTAAATATCAAGAGCAATTTAAAAGATACATTTATAACCCTGTCCTTTCTTCCTCTTGAAAAACACTTTCTTTTTTTTTTTTTTTTTTTTTTGAGATGGAGTCTCACTCTGTCGCCCAGGCTGGAGTGTAGTGGTGCGATCTGGGCTCACTGCAAACTCCGCCTGCCGGGTTCACGTCATTCTCCTGCATCAGCCTGAGTAGCTAGGACTACAGGCTCCCGCCACTGCGCCCGGCTAATTTTTTGTATTTTTAGTAGAGACAGGGTTTCACCGTGTTAGCCAGGGTGGTCTCGATCTCCTGACCTCGTGATCCTCCTGCCTTGGCCTCCCAAAGTGCTGGGATTACAGGCATGAGCCGCCGCACCCGGCCGAAAAACATTTTCTTAAAACATCTTCTTTCCTGGGAAGCAACAGGAATTCCTTTAAAATGAAGTGGGGTTTTTTTTTTCTTTTTTTGTTTTGTTTTGTTGAGATGGAGTCTCGCTCTGTCACCCAGGCTGGAGTGCAGTGGCGTGATCTCGGCTCACTGCAAGCTCCGCCTCCCGGGTTCATGCTGTTCTCCTGCCTCAGCCTCCCTAGTAGCTGAGATTATAGGCATGTGCCACCACGTCCGGCTAATTTTTTGTATTTTTAGTAGAGACAGGGTTTCGCCATGTTAGCCAGGATGGTCTTGATCTCCTGACCTCAGGTGATCTGCCCACCTCGGCCTCCCAAAGTGCTGGGATTACAGGCATGAGCCACTGTGCCCAGCCTGAAGTATTTTATTTTGCTCTACATACCTTCTTCCTCTGACCCAGTCATTTGGAGCAGAAATTAAATACATGCACTTATTTGATCACCTACACAGCTCAGTTTATTTCTTCAAAGGAAGAAGGAAGCTGACTAAAACATACATTTTTTTTTTCTGAAGTTATTTTCCTCTTATTTCTGGTGTTAACCTGGTAAAATATTTTTTATTAAAAACTTATATTTTTAAAAAAAGAATATAACTGGCTGGGTGCAGTGACTCATGCCTATAATCCCAGCACTTTGGGAGGCTGAGGCGGGTGGATCACCTGAGGTCAGGAGTTTGAGACCAGGCTGGCCAACATGGTGAAACCCCATCTCTACTAATAATACAAAAAAATTAGCCAGATGTGGTGGTGCACACCTGTAATCCCAGCTACTCAGGAGGCTGAGGCTGGAGAATCGCTTAAACCCGGGAGGCGGAGGTTGCAGTGAGCCAAGATGGTGCCATTGCACTCCAGCCTGGGCAACAAGTGCGAAACTCCGTCTCAAAAAAAAAAAAAAAAAGAATATAACAAAGTAAACATAAAATTCAGGGTAGTGGTTATTTGTTGGGAGATGGAGAGGAGGAACCACATGTCTGGGATAATGACAATGACTTTCCTTGGCTAGAACTGGTGGATCATGTCTGTCATCCCAGCACTTTTGGAGGCTGAGGCTGGGGGACTGCTTGAGCCCAGAAGTTTGAGACCAGCCTGGGCAACATAGTGAGACCTCCTCTACAAAAATTTAAAAAAAAAAAACATTAGCCAGGTGTGATGTTACATGCCTGTGGTTCCCGATACTCAGGAAGCAGAGGGGAGAAGATCACTTGAGCCCCTTAGGTCGAGGCTATGGTGAGCTGGGATTGCACCACTGCACTCCAGCTTGGGTGACAGAGTGAGATTTTGTCTTGGGGAAAAAAAGGATTTTCCTTGACCTAGATTATGGCTATATGGATGTTTGCCTTTTAATTATTTTTTACTTGTACTTTTGTGTTTTGCGCACTATTCTGTGCGTTATATTAAATTTTTTTTTTTTTTTTTTTTGAGACGGAGACTTGCTCTGACGCCCAGGCTGGAGTGTAGTGGCGTGATCTCGGGTCACTGCAAGCTCTGCCTCCCGGGTTCACACCTTTCTCCTGCCTCATCCTCTTGAGTAGCTGGCACTACAAGTGCCCATCACCACGCCCGGCTAATTTTTTTTGTATTTTTAGTAGAGACAGGGTTTCACCATGTTAACCAGGATGGTCTCAATCTCCTGACCTTGTGATCCACCCGCCTCGGCCTCCCAAAGTGCTGGGATTACAGGTGTGAGCCACCGCACCCGGCCTAAATATTTACAGTTTAAAAGCCTCACCAAATTGTACATGAAGGCATGGTAGTTTACTTGTGGGAAAAGGGAGGGATGAGAGATGAAACTTCAGCTTTGTCTGTGGCACTTTATTTTAAGACCGCAAGGCCAGGCATAGTGGCTCACCCCTGTAATCCCAGGACTTTGAGAGATGACCAAATGAGAGGATGGCTTGAGCCCAGGAGTTCAAGACCACCTTTGGCAACATAGTGAGACCTTGTTTCAAAAAATAATAAAATATTTTAAGAAGGCAAGGCCGGGCGCAGTGGCTCATGCCTGTAATCACAGCAGTATGGGAGGCCGAGGCTGGTGGATGACTTGAGGCCAGGAGTTTGAGGCCAGCCTGGGCAACATGGCAAAATCCCGTCTCTACTAAAAATACAGAAATTAGCCAGGCATGGTGGTGCATGCCTGTAATCTCAGCAACTCAGGAGACTGAGGCACGAGAATGGCTTGAACCCAGGAGGTGGAGGTTACAGTGAGCCGAGATTGTGCCACTGCACTCCAGCCTGGGCAACAGAGTGAGACTCTGTCTGAAAAAATAAAAAGAAGGAAGAAGGCAGGGGATGTTAAGCAAAAAAGGGCAAAATGTTAACATCGGTTTAGCCTTGGTGGTGGATGCATAGGTAAATTATTAATTTTTCTGCATGCTTGAGATTTTTTAATAAAATGTTTTTATTTTCCAAGTTCCAAAGAACTGGAAATCGAAATGTTTTTAAAACATCAAAGTTACTTTTTTTTTGTTTTTGAGACGGAGTCTCACTCTGTCGCCCAAGCTGGAGTGCAGTGGTGCGATCTCAGCTCACTGCAACCTCCACCTCCTGGGTACAAGCACTTCTCCTGCCTCAGCCTCCCAAGTAGCTGGGATTACAGGTGCTCACCACCACGCCCTGCTAATTTTTGTATTTTTAGTAGAGACGGGGTTTTGCCATGTTGGCTAGGCTGGTCTCGAACGCCTGACCTTGTGATCTGCCCACCTCGGCCTCCCAAAGTGCTAGGATTACAGGAGTGAGCCACCGCGCCAGGCCTATTTTTTTACTTCTAATGCTAAAGATTGTAATATAATTTTGAATGTACGGATTTCTCATTTGCACCTATTACTATGTAGGTTAACCTGAATTAACCTTTAAGGAAGTCTTAGTATTTAGAACGTACTTCTGGAGAAAGAATTGTTTATAAAGGGCAATTCTGGTGTTTTATAAAGGTGTTATGAATAAGAAGTCTGTAGCATTTAGAACAATCGAAGGGAAGTTTCTGCAGCATGAATGTAATTCACAATATAAAACTAATGGGTTTTCTAGTTTATTCTATTTCCTAGTGGTACTAAGGGTATGTTTTTTTGTTTGTTTGTTTTTTGAAACGAGTCTCACTGTTGCCCCGGCTGGAGTACAGTAGCACGATCTCGGCTCACTGCAACCTCCGCCTCCCGGGTTCAAGCGATTCTCCTGCCTCAGCCTCCCGAGTAGCCAGGATTACAGGCGTGTGCCACCATGCCCAGCTAAGTTTTTGTATTTTTAGTAGAGACGGGGTTTCACCACGTTAGCCAGGATGGTCTCGATCTCCTGACCTCGTGATCCGCCCGCCTTGGCCTCACAAAGTGCTGGGATTACAGGAGTGAGCCACCGTGCTCGGCCGAAGGGTATGTCACTGTTTGTGTAACTCTCAAAAATGTAGCAGTAGGCTAAGAGTTGTGACTCACTTCTGTAATCCAGCACTTTGGGAGGCCAAGGTGGGCGGATCACCTGAGGTCAGGAATTTGAGACCAGCCTGGCCAACACCAGTGAAACCCTGTGTCTACTAAAAATACAAAAATTACCCGGGAGTGGTGGTGGACACCTGTAATCCCAGCTACTCAGGAGGCTCAGGCAAGTGAATCACTTGAACCCAGGAGGCAGAGGTTGCAGTGAGCTGAGATGGCACCACTGCACTCCAGCCTAGGCAACAGAGTGAGACTCCATCTCAAAAAAAAAACTAGCAGTATTGGCTGGGCACAGTGGCTCACACCTGTAATCCTAGTGCTTCTGGAGGCCAAGGTGGCAAGATCACTTGAGGTCGAGAGTTGGAGACCAGCTTAGGCAACATAGGAAGAACCCCATCTCTACAAAAAATAATAAATAAATAAATAATTAGGCCAGGCGCAGTGGCTCACACCTATAATCCCAACACTTTGGGAGGCTGAGGTGGGAGGATTGCTTGAGCCTAGGAGTTCCAGACCAACCTCTAGGCAACATGGTGAGACCCCATCTCTACAAAAAATTAAAAAACAGAATTAGCTGGGTGTTGTGGCATGCACCTGAAGTCCCAGCTCCCTGGGAGGCTGAGGTGGGAGGACCACTTGTGCTGGAGAGGTTGAGGCTGCAGTGAGCTGTGATTACACCACTGCACTCCAGCCTGGGCAACAGTGAGACCCTGTCTCTAAAAAATTGCATATATATATAAACATAGCAACAGTTCCTGCAGTCCTCAGTGTACTTTTTAAGGCTTTAACATAGCCCCCAATTCTAATGTGGTTTTTTTTGAGACAGAGTCTCACTCTGTTGACCAGGCTGGAGTGCAATGGCACGATCTCGGCTCACTGCAACCTCCGCCTCCTGGGTTCAAGCAATTCTCCTCCCTCAACCTCCTGAGTAGCTGGGATTACAGGCATCTGCCACCACGCCCGGCTGATTTTTTGTATTTTTAGTAGAGACGGGGTTTCACCGTGTTCTCAATATCCTGACCTCGTGATCCGCCCGCCTCGGCCTCCCAAAGTGCTGGGATTACAAGCATGAGCCACCGCGCCCGGCGGGACTCAGTGAAATTGTTGCTGTTACTTCCATGAAATTTACATATGGAAAGGCAGTTGTCATCTAGCCAAAGAGGTTTGTGTATAGACTTAGAGAAAAAGAGAAAGTGCTGCTTGAGACTAAGTTACTTTATGTAACTGTAAAGTAAGACAAACTTGAGGTAACCAGGTACCCTGAATATGTTCCAAATGTAGTCCAGTGAAATATTACAGGGTTGGTACTACACTTAGCATCCAAAGCTGCTTGTACAGTCAAGAAGAAGGATCTATGCAGGGCTGAGAAAATTATTAACCTTTACAAGAAATAATTTTGTAAACTGAACAAGAATTAAAATGAAATTCAGGAAATGTAGAAGACAGGTTAGATAATTATATCGATGGAGTAAATAACAAAGTATAGAAACAAGTGAAAATTTAGAGACCTGAAGCTATTAGAATTAATTCTAGCCAAGGACCTGGAATTTGGCCAAAATACATTACTTTGCTTTATCTTCACATTTGTTCTCTTGCCCGTGATTTTTTTAAACACAATTCTTTTTACAAGAGAAAATGTTGTCTATTTTTGAAATCTGATATGGCTAGAAAATAATAAAACTGACATTAAAAAATAAGAAAACAATAAAACTGGTGGTTACACAAGAAGGAGCTCTCAATTGATAATTTTATTTTCACCTAGCTCACATTCTATTTCCAAAATACGCCACAAAAAATTCCTCTTGCAAGAATTTTTCTCTGGGCTCTGGCAGTATTCATGATCTCTTCTCTAGAAGAGAAAAAAAAAACCTCTTGCTTGTTTTAGAAACCATCAGATACAAAGGAGAAAGTGAGGCGATTTCAGCTCTTCAGTCTTAATATCAATTCTCTGTCCTTTTATGCAGGGAAGAAAAGAGTCTTGCCCTAATTTGGTATTGGTCATGCGTTTTCCATGAGAAAAGTGGGAACCCTGGGCTATGTTTTTACTGACTTATTTTCTGTTAAAACTGAAAGTTCTTGGCCAGGCGCAGTGGCTCATGCCTGTAATCCCAGCACTTTGGGAGGCTGAGGCGGGTGGATCAGCCGAGGTCAGCAGTTTGAGACCAGCCTGGCCAACATGGTGAAACACTGTCTCTACTAAAAATACAGATGTTAGCCAGGCGTGGTGGTGGGCGCATGTAATCCCAGCTACTCAGGAGGCTGAGGCAGGAGAATCGCTTGAATCTGGGAGGTAGAGGTTGTAGTGAGCTGAGATTGAACCATTGCACTCCAGCAGTGAGCCGAGATTGCACCATTGCACTCCAGCTGGGTGACAAGAGTGAAACTCCATCTAAAAAAAAAAAAAAAACAGAGTTCTTGAATTTTCTTTTTTGTTGTTGTTCTTATTTTGTAATTATTTCTTTAAATTTATTATTATTTTTTTAGAGACAAAGTCTCACTATGTTGCCCAGTCTGGTCTTGAATTCCTGGGCTCAAGCAGTCCTCCCTCTTCGGCCTTCCAAAGTGTTGGGATTACAGGCGTGAGTCACTGCGCATGTTCCCTTTTCGTTTTTTGGGTTTTTTTGTTGTTTTTTTTTGAGACAGAGTTTCACTCTTGTTGCCCAGGCTGGAGTGCAATGGCATGGTCTCGGCTCACTGCAGCTTCCACCTACCGGGTTCAAGCAATTCTCCTGCCCCAGCTTCCCACGTAGCTGGGATTACAGGCACCTACCACCACGCCCAGCTAATTTTTGTATTTTTAGTAGAGAGGGGGTTTCGCCATGTCAGCCAGGCTGTTCTCAAACTCCTGACGTCAGGTGATCCGCCTGCCTCAGCCACGCAAAGTGCTGGGATTACAGGCGTGAGGCACCATGCCCGGCCCCTTTTCTTTTTTTCTGAGATGGAGTCTTGCTCTGTTGCCCAGGCTGGAGTGCAGTGATGTGATCTCAGCTCACTGCAGTCTTTACCCCCCGGGTTCAAGCAATTCTCCTGTCTCAGCTTCCCAAGTAGCTGGGATTACAGGCGCCCGCCACCAAGCCCAGCTAATTTTTGTACTTTTAGTAGAGATGGAGTTTCACCACGTAGGCCAGGCTGGTCTCAAATTCCTAACCTCAGGTGATCCACCTGCCTTGGCCTCCCAAAGTGCTGAGATTATAGGCGTGAGCTACCGCACCCAGCCTTCCCTTTTCTTTTTTTTTTTCTTGAGACGGACTCTTGCTCTGTCACCTGGGCTGCAGTGCAGTGGCGTGATCTTGGCTCACTGCAACCTCTGCCTCCTGGGTTCAAGTGATTCTCCTGCCCCAGCCTCCCTAAGAGCTGGGATTAAAAGCGTGCGCCCCAATGCTCCGCTAATTTTTGTATTTTTAGTAGAGATGGGGTTTCACCATGTTGGCCAGGCTAGACTTGAACTCCTGACCTCAGGTGATCTGCCCACCTCGGCCTCCTAAAGTGCTGGGATTACAGGCATGAGCAACCACACCTGTCCCCTTTTCTTTTTTCAAAGAAGAGTTTTCATGACCATTTGCTTTTCTTCCAACTGACCAATATGTTAAACTTAGCAACAAGTTTATCTTGGAGATCCATATTTCCAGTTGATTAATGAGTAGAAGTTAACTGAAGATTTGCAGCTTAAAAAAAAAAACAAAAACTTTAAAAAAAACTTCAGCTAATTTACTTTCTGTCAGTAGAGTTTTCATTTTATGTCTTCTTTCACATGACACTGTAATAACCCTAATCATCCTTTTTCTTTTTTTCTATAGCATTACCAGGAGAGTGACAAGGGTGAGGTATGTTGGAGCTGATTTCTAAGCATGAGGGCCTTTCCCTTGCAAGTTGTTACTGCTTTTGGGGCCTCTTTTGGAGAAAAGCCAAGTAGTCAGTCTCCTATTCATCTCAGTGAGTGTTGTCCTATGGGGTGGCCACCAGTTTGGACAGTTCTGTTTGAAACCATCAGGATGGCTGGGCATGGTGGCTCATGCCTGTAATCCTAGCAGTTTCGGAGGCCAAGGTGGGAGGATCACTTGCATCTAAGAGTTTGAGACCAGCCTGGGCAACATAGACCCCTTCTCTACAGAAAATCAAAGATTAGCGGGGCCTGGTGGCACATACCTCTGTATCTCAGCTACATGGGAGGTTGAGGTGAGAGGATCACTTGAGTCCAGGACGTCAAGACTGCAGTGATCCATGATCACATCACTGCACTCCGCGTGAGTGACAGAGTGAGACCCTATCTCAAAAGAAATAAAAACCGTCAAGATCGGCCGCCCATGGTGGCTCATGCCTGTAATCCCAGCACTTTGGGAGGCCGAGGCAGGTGGAGATCACGAGGTCAGGAAATCGAGACCATCCTGGCTAACACGGTGAAACCCCGTCTCTACTAAAAATACAAAAATTAGCAGGGCGTGGTGGCGAGCACCTGTAATCCTAGCTACTTGGGAGGCTGAGGCAGGAGAAGCACTTGTACCCAGGCGGTGGAGCTTGCAGTGAGCCGAGATTGTGCCACTGCACTCCAGCCTGGGCGACAGAGCGAGACTCTGTCTCAAAAAAAAAAAAAAAAAAAAAAATCAAGATCTCTATTTTCTTTGATTTTGATTTCCAGGAGTTAGGACCTGGAAATGTACAGAAAGAAGTCTCATCTTCCTTTGACCACGTTATCAAGGAGGTAAGAGATGAATTACATCCTGTGCTGTTTGCCCAGATCAAACTGTGGTGTTGCAACTATGGAATCAGAATCATCAGGCCTGTGTGTTCAGTGTCTGTTCCCAAATGAAATTAAACCTTCAAATTAATTTGGGCTTTACTACATGTATAACATTAAAAAGAGAGAGGATCAGTGCTTGCTGTTCAGAATAGATGCATTTCAAGAAAACTCATTTTGCCCACACATTCCGTCTTTAGAATACTGAAAGTCTTCTAATAGTGTTGAAAACCTCAGGAATAAAAGTGTTAAAATAGGCCAGGTGTGGTGGCTCACGCCTGTAATCCCAGCACTTTGGGAGGCCAAGGCAGGAAGATCACTTGACCCCAGGAGTTAGAGACCAGCCTATGCAACATAGTGAGACTTCCTCTCTACAAAAAAAATAGAAAAATTAGCTAGGTGTGTGGTGGCACATATCTGTAGTCCCAGGTACTCGAGAGGCTGCGGTGAGAAGATGACTTAAGCCCAGGAAGTTGAGGCTGCAGTGAGCTATGATTGTGCCACCATACTCCAGCCTGTGTGATAGAGCAAGACCTTGTCTTTAGAAAAAAGTATTAAAATAGCGACCAGGCCCTTTGTATGTTGGATAGTATCTATGCAGAAAGGCTCTTTTGACATTTTTCTGACTCTGAAAAGTTCCTCATCACCCATTTCCCACCCCCATATGCTGCCATAGGTGTTTCTGTGCCTGGCTTTCAGAACTATTCTCTTATTACTTAAGTCTTCACATTGTCTTAATTGTCATTAATGAAGTCACAATTATCCAGGAAATGCAGCCATCCAAAATACATATTCCAAAGGCCGGGCACAGTGGCTCATGCCTGTAATCCCAGCACTTTGAGAGGCCGAGGCGGGCGGATCACCTGAGGTTGGGAGTTGGAGACCAGCCTGACCAACATGGAGAAACCCCGTCTCTACTAAAAATACAAAAATTAGCCAGGCATGGTGGCGCATGTCTGTAATCCCAGCTACTTGGGGGGCTGAGGCAGGAGAATGGCTTGAACCCGGGAGGCAGAGGTTGTAATGAGCCAAGATTGCACCATTGCACTCTAGCCTGGGCCACAGGAGTGAGACTCCATCTCAAGAAAAAAAAAAAAAAAATATATATATATATATATATTCCAAAACAAACATTACTAAAGGTCTGGAAACCAGATAAATTAGCTCTATTTTCTGTAAATTTTCATGAAATTAGTTTGCTTAAAAGCAGGGATACGGCCGGGCGTGGTGGCTTACACCTGTAATCCCAACACCTTGGGAGGCCGAGGCGGGCAGATCACGAAGTCAGGAGATTGAGACCACCCTGGCTAACACGGTGAAACCCCGTCTCTACGAAAAATACAAAAAAATTAGCTGGGCATGGTGGCAGGCGCCTGTAGTCCCAGCTACTCGGGAGGCTGAGGCAAGAGCATGGCGTGAACCTGGGAGGTGGAGCTTGCAGTGAGCCAAGACTGCGCCACTGCACTCCAGCCTGGGAGACAGCGAGACTCCCTCTCAAAAAAAAAAAAAAAAGCAGGGATACATGTATTACTATGCAATTAGTATTTTCCTTAGTTTGCCCATCCAGTCCCATAGGATCTTATGCCCTTGGAGAAGGGGTGAGGGCTGTCTTAAAACTCAGTGACTAGGCCGGGTGTGGTGGCTCACACCTATAATCCCAGCACTTTGGGAGGCTGAGGCGGGCAGATCACGAGGTCAGGCATTCAAAACCAGCTTGGCCAACATGGCGAAATCCCATCTCTACTAAAAATACAAAAAAAATTAACTGGGCATGGTGGTGTGTGCCTATAATCCCAGCTACTCAGGAGGCTGAGGCGGGAGAATCACTTGAACCTGGGAGGTGGAGGTTGCAGCAAGCTGAGATCGCACCACTGCACTCCAGCCCGGGCAACAGAGCAAGACTCTGTCTCAAAAAAAAAGAAAAGAAAAAACTCAGTGACCATAAAGATACTGTTTAAATGCAAAAGCCGGCCAGGCACGGTGGCTCATGCCTGTAATCCCAGCACTTTGGGAGGCCGAGGCGGGCGGATCATGAGGTCAGGAGATCGAGACCATCCTGGCTAACACGGTGAAACCGTCTCTACTAAAAAATACAAAGAAAAAAAATTAGCCGGGCATGATGGCGGGTGCCTGTAGTCCCAGCTACTTGGGAGGCTGAGGCAGGAGAATGGCGTGAACCCGGGAGGCGGAGCTTGCAGTGAACCGAGTTCGCGCCACTGCACTCCAGCGTGGGTGACAGAGCAAGACTGTCCTAAAAAAAAAAAAAAAATGCAAAAGCCAATGGTAGACCTGCTTACATTTGCAATCCCAGAACCTAAATGCAAAGATTATAATTTAATTTTCTTTATTACTTCCTTACAGAGCCCTAGAGTAGAAAGATAAACTAGGAAAAACACAGCAGCTCTAAGATACTGCACAGTTACTGGGTTGTAGTCACAAAACAAAATTGTTCTCTTCTCCCAAAAATGTGAGTAGAGACTAAATGGAGCCTGTCATTTATCTAGAATGATGTCAGACTCTCCAAAATCACTTACCAATAAGAGAGCAACTTAATAATCTCAATAAAGGCCTCATATTTTTTATTTCAGCTTAATGACTTTGTTGGTGACCTTTCCTGTTTCTTTATTTTTTTCTCTTACCTGTAAAATTGAGAAAACAACAGAAGCCTGCTTTGCAGAGAAATTTTGAGAAGTAACTATAATAGAACATTGAGATCCATGAGTGAAAAGTATGATAAAATGACAATGAATGAGATCTTTCACATCCCATTCAAACTCTTCTTGACTCCAGCCAGGGCAGGAGGGCTGTGTCATTCACTTTCTTATCCTATACCACGATATCCACCCACATTCCTTCTCACAGGCATTTGAGTGTCATTTGTTTAGATTTCAGAAGTGTGTGTTGATTGTTTCTAGACAACTCGAGAGATGATCGCTCGTTCTGCTGCTACCCTCATCACACATCCCTTCCATGGTATGTTTGCAGTTGACAACTGACCTTTCTTTTATAACCTGATCTCTCCTGACCACTTAGATAGGTTGACGTGGGAGTTGACTAAAATGCCTTGCCTGCATGTTTTTGTTTGCTTGCTTGTTTTGGCTTTTATCCAATTTATCCAGATAGCAAAATGTCTTTAGGTGGAAAATCTTTTTTTTTCCCAGGGCTATCAAAATCTATCTTAACATAGTTTTTTTTTGTTTGTTTGTTTTTTGTTTTTGAGACGGAGTTTCACTCTTGTTGCCCAGGCTGGAGTGCAATGGCACAATCTTGGCTCACTGCAACCTCAGCCTTCCGGGTTCAAGCAGTACTCCTGTCTCAGCCTCCTAAGGAGCTGGGATTACAGGTGCATGCCACCACGCCTGGATAATTTTTGTATTTTTAGTAGAGATGGGGCTTCATCATATTGGTCAGGCTAGTCTTGAACTCCTGACCTCAGGTGATCCGCCCACCTCGGCCTCTCAAAGTGCTGGGATTACAGGTGTGAGCCACCGCACCTGGCCTTAACATAGTTGTAAACATCTTTTCTCTATATTCCACAGTGATCACTCTGAGATCTATGGTACAGTTCATTGGCAGAGAATCCAAGTACTGGTAAGTATTTTTGTTTTCACATACTCAAGGAGATCTTTTGAAGCCAAAGTACTAGAATAATACTACTTTGTATTTTTATGATACCCTTACAATTTGTAGAACAAATTCGTATCTGATGTCATTTGATCTGCACAAAAAACAATAAAATGGGAGAAAATATACCCAGGCAGGTTTAGTAGCCTACGTAGGATTTCAGAGTAAGTTGCAGAGCCCCTGACTCCATATGACTATACCCCTAGGTAGTTAATATTTTCACTTCTATCTCCAAATTTAGCTATCTTTGCAGAGTGAGAGAGTGCTAGAAAAGTGTGAGGGAAGGAGGTCGTGGATTTGACCTTGTCCAATGTGATAATTGAAATTATTTTGTTTATAGCTCCAAAAGAATCTTAATATATTTTACCTTTTCTTCTTGTGTACGTAGTGGACTTTGTGATTCCATAATAACCATCTATCGGGAAGAGGGCATTCTAGGATTTTTCGCGTGAGTAAATGTTGATTAGTGTGTAATTTTTGCATGAGTGGGAAACGTTTTCTGAAAGTAAGAATAGTGAGTCTTTGTTTAATCCTTGGGGAAAACGTACTCCCTGGGCTTACCTCACGTTACATTCTATTTAGGCCCCTTATTTTTTTTTCTTTTTTCTCTGCAGAAAGGCATATTTAGGCCCCATATGACTAGAATTATCTTGTAAAGATCCCAAACCTTTACTTCTAGATACTTAAAACATTTGAGGCCGGGCGTGGTGGCTCACGCCTGTAATCCCAGCACTTTGAGAGGCCAAGGCGGTTGGATCACCTGAGGTCAGGAGTTCAAGACCAGCCTGGCCAACATGGTAAAACCCCACCTCTAGGTGTGGTGGTGTGTGCCTGTAATCCCAGCTACTCGGGAGGCTGAGGCAGGAGAATTGCATGAACCCGGGAGGTGGAAGTTGCAGTGAGCTGAGATTGCACCACTGTACTCCAGCCCGGGTGACAGAGTGAGACTCCGTCTCAAAAAAATAATAATAATTAATAAATAAATAAGGAATTTCTTTTTTTAACAAAGGACTTAATTCCAAGTTTCTACCCTTGTAGTAAACTCCCAATTCTATATAGATAATAAAATGAGAAAAATTAAATGTTGAAAAATGGGGAAATCATCTTAACTTGTATTTTCCTTACCGTAAAAGAGTAAGTTTTTGCAAGGCTTGAATTTACTTTGGAAGAACTTAGACTACTACCCTCATTCTTCTATGAGGAAAAATTTTGCATCATTACCGAAATGGTGTTTTTTGTTTTTTTTTTTTTAATTTTCAGAGTATCTCCCCATACGGATTTTGAATATCATAAATACCCTGTGAGATAGGCAGGACAGCTATAATTAGTATCACTTTAGAGATTAAAAAACATTGATGCTCTGAGAGTTTCATCTGCTGCCTGTCACATCGCTGCTGAGTGCTGGAGCTGGCATTTGAAGCTGGTCTTCAATCCGTGGGGAAATGCTCTTCCCACTATTCCATGCTGCCTCACCTAGGTCACCCAGACCCTAGAAATGTGGTTTTTGATGCCTCTCATCTGTATCTGTACTTGGGACCATTCTTGCTTTGTAATTTTTCTCGTCTTTTGCTCTGCCAAATATGAATATCAGATAGCTTAGCAAAATCATTTTTTTAAGCTAGTCAAAGCAAAACAATATTTAAGTCTCTTCTGCAAAGCACCTCGCAAATCTTTTGCCTCCCTGCTTACAGTTATGAATAGTAAGGTGAGCCACTGAGGGTATAGCCGACCTGCATTTTAAACATAGGAACAAAAGTCACTGGAGATCAGCTTCAAGTACAGCTGTGTTAACGAGAATGAACTAGGTATGCGGGCTGGATTCTGGTGTTTGATTCCTTTTTTACTTCCCTAGAATGTTTTGTGACCTCTAATTATTTGACAAACATTTGTACTGAAGAGCCTGTCATGTTACTGATCACATTTTTTGGTTCTTATTTTTATTGTTTCTTCATGTAGGGGTCTTGTTCCTCGCCTTCTAGGTGACATCCTTTCTTTGTGGCTGTGTAACTCACTGGCCTACCTCGTCAATACCTATGCACTGGACAGTGGGGTAGGTTGTGACCTTCGTGAGATGTGCTCACCTTGGCTTTAATCTGGCAGCTAGATTAGCTTTTAAAGTAAGATGGGCCGGGCGAGGTGGCTCACACCTGTAATCCCAGCACTTTGGGAGGCCAATGTGGGCGGATCACCTGAGATCAAGAGTTCGAGACCAGCCTGGCCAACATGGTGAAACCTCGTCTCTACTAAAAATACAGAAAAAATTAGCTGGGCGTGGTGGTGCGTGCCTATAGTCCCAGCTACTTGGGAGGCTGAGGCAGGGGAATTGCTTGAACCCAGGAGGCGGAGGTTGCAGTGAGCCAAGATCGCGCCACTGCATTCCAGCCTGGGTGACAGAGGGAGACTCCATTTCAAAAAATAAATAATAAATAAATAAACAAGATGACAGTTTGCTACATGCCAGACTGAACAATTATATAGCTAAAAATTATCAGTCAAATTTTCAAATGCTAATGAAATGAGCATACTGTTCACTGTAGAACGATACTGTTTACTGTAGAACGATACACGTTAAAAGTCCGTAAGATGTGACAGAGTATACCCAAGAGACTTAGCCCTGTGTTACTTCAGGGCTTTAAAGAGATCACTTCTTTACTGATACTTAACTTGAGAGAACCTGGGAAAGCAGGACATCTTTATGGTGTATCGGGGGCTTTTCATCTAATCTGGACTTAAGAGGGTGCCTGTATTGGGCTTTCTAGAAACCTCAGCCTTTTGAGAATCAGTCTTATCTAGAAGTTGTCTTTCTTATCTCAGCAGTTGTGGGGCCTCTTGTATGTCGGCAGCTCCATAGCATGATGATAAATTGAACACATCACAGGGTATATGACTAAATCCATGTTGTAAACCTCTTGAGTACAGAGAGGGATTTTCTTCAACGCATCTGGTAGAAAGCTAGCTGTGTAAAACAAAGGTAGTGAATTGTCCCTTAGATATACTATAAATGTGGTTTTCCAGGGACTGTATTTCTAGGATGTGTGAAAAGGTTATCAATCTCATTTTCTTTAGTATTTGAAATCCTTTTACATTCGTCCCTAAAGCATTTTAGTATAATATGAATTTGTCTGTTAATATTGAATCAGGTTGATCATTTTGACCACTGCCTTATTATTCTAATAATCAGTGTTTTATGGTTTTGTCCTCAAAATTAGTTTTAGACAGGTGTGGTGGCTCATGCTGTAATCCCAACACTTTGGGAGGCTGAAGTGGGAGGGTCACTTGAGCCCAGGAGGTCAAGGTTGTGAGATCACAGCTCACTGCACCTCCAGCCTGGGCAACAAGAGAGATGAGATCCTGTCTCAAAAAAAAAAAAAAAATTAATTTTCAAGCTGTCAAACTGATAATTTAGAGATAGACTATATTGACATGGAGAGCAAGGCACAGTAGCTCCAGCCTATGATTCCAGCGACTCAGGAGGCTTAGGTGGGAGGTTTGCCTGAAGCCAGGAGTTTGAAACCAGCCTAGGCAACATAGCAAGACACCGTCTCTTAGCTGGGCATAGTGGCTTATGCCTATAATCTCAGCACTTTGAGAGGTCAAGGTGGGAGGATCTCTTGAGCCCAGGAGTTTGAGACCAGCCTGGGCAAACATAGGGAGACCCTTATCTCAAAAAAAAAAAGACACCATTTCTTAAAAAATATTTTGAAATTAGCTGGGCGTGGTGATGTGTGCTTCAGGAGGTCACTGCACTTCAGCCTGGGTGACAGAGTGAGGCACTGTCTGAAAGAAAAAAAGAAAAGAAAAGAAAAGGAAAAAAGAATATATTGATGTGTTGTAGTGTTGTAGGTAATTAATTTAAGGCTCTTTTCCTATTTTAGGTTTCTACCATGAATGAAATGAAGAGTTATTCTCAAGCTGTCACAGGAGTGAGTTTTTTAAAATCCTTTTAACCTTCTAGGAATAGTTGTGTTTTGTTTTGTTTTCCTTTTAAATCTGGCTTGTGTCATCACTGCTTTAAGATAACCAGATGTCTCACTGGGACATCTCCCTGAAATTTGTTATATTTGTCAAAGGTAAGAATAACTCAGTTTTCGGCCAGGCGCCATGGCTCATGCCTGTAATCCTAGCACTTTGGGAAGGTGAGGTGGGCGGATCACCTGAGGTCAGGAGTTCGAGACCAGCCTGGCCAACATGATGAATCCCCGTCTCTACTAAAAATACTAACATTAGCCGAGCGTGGTGGTGCATGCCTGTAATCCCAGCTACTCGGGAGGCTGAGGCAGGAGAATCACTGGAACCTGGGAGATGGAGGCTGCAGTGAGCTGAGATCACGCCACTGCACTTCGGCCTGGGCGACAGAGTGAGACTCCATCTCAAAAAAAAAGAGAGAATAACTCAGTTTTCGAAGGAACCACAGACTCACATGTGAAAATAAAGAGAGTAAGGCAGAACCCCTGCCTCACATCCTGCATGGTTTGGTACTGCTTAGCTTTCATAAGGGGCGTGCCTTTCCTCCGAAATAATATTGTTCAGGCCAGACATGGTGGCTCACACCTGTAAACCCAGCACTTCGGGAGGCCAAGGAAGGAGGATCACTTGAGGCCAAGAGTTCAAGACCAGCCTGGGCAACTGAGCAAGACCCCATTTCTACAAAAGTGAAAAAAAAAAAAAAAAGCTGGGGCAGGCGCGGTGGCTCACTCCTGTAATCCCAGCACTTTGGGAGGCTGAGGTCGGGAGTTCGACACCACCTTGGCCAATTTGGAGAAATCTCATCTCTACTAAAACTACAAAATTAGCTGGGCATGGTGGTGCATGCCCGTAATCCCAGCTACTTGGGAGGCTGAGGCAGGAGAATCGCTTGAACCCCAGGAGGCGGAGGTTGCAGGAGAATCGCTTGAACCCAGGAGGCGGAGGTTGCAGTGAGCCAATATCACACCATTACACTCCAGCGTGGGCAACAAGAGGGAAACTCCATCTCAAAAAAAAAAAAAGTAGTTGGGTATGGTGGCGTGCGCCTATAGTCCCAGCTACTCAGGATCAGAGAATTCTTCTGGCCTTTTGTTAAAATGTTGGATGCAGTGGTGTGCTAAGAGGAAGAAGCATCTCCAGGCTCAAAACTGTAACTGTTGTCTTTCCAGGGTACCGATGAAGCGAGACAAGTGTTAGAGTGTCTCACCGCAGTGGCACTAGGCCTTTAAGGTAAAGGAAAGGAGAATAAAGACTAGGAATGATCTAATAACAGCTGCCTTGTTTCCATTTTACAGTTTTTTGCGAGTATGTTGACCTATCCCTTTGTGCTTGTCTCCAATCTTATGGCTGTCAACAACTGTGGGTAAGCACTTTGTATTTCTTATTCTAGTAGGTGGTTGACTGTATGCTGACAGGCGGAGCAGCCTTGTAGAAATTTAGGAAAGATGAATGATCAGTATCAATCTCTGATTGGTATTTTTTTAAAAAGGGGGGGAGGAAAAGTATAATTGATACCATTAGAAGATTCCTAATTTTTTTCTTTGTATGCCCTATGCAGCAGCAGCCTCAATTTGTATTTATTTATTAATTATTATTATTTTTTTTTTTTTTTTGAGATGGAGTCTTGCTATGTTGCCCAGGCTGGAGTGCAGTAGCATGATCTCGGCTCACTGCGACCTCCACCTCCTGGATTCAAGTGATTGTCCCGCCTCAGCCTCCTGAGTAGCTGGGATTACAGGCATTCGCCACCATGCCCAGCTAATATTTTTGTATTTTTGGTAGAGACAGGGTTTCACCATGTTGGCCAGGCTGGTCTCGAACTCCTGACCTCAAGTGATCCACCCGCCTCAGTCTCCCAAAGTGCTGGGATTACAGGCATGAACCACCATGCCAGGCCAATTACTATTATTATTTATAGTTTTTGTTTTTGTTTTTGTTTTTGTTTTTTGAGACAGAATCTCACTCTGTCACCCAGGCTGGAGTGCAGTGGTGCAGTCTCGCTCCATTACAACAGACACCTCCTGGATTCAAGCAGTTCTCATGCCTCAGCTTCCCAAGAAGTTGTGATTACAGGCATGTGCCACCATGCTGGGCTAATTTTTGCATTTTTAGTAGAGATGGGGTCTTGCTATGTTGGCCAGACTGGTCCTGAACTCCTGACCTCCGGTGATCTGCCTACCTCGGACTTCCAAAGCGCTGGAATTAAAGGCGTGAGCCACTGCACCTGGCCTATTTTTATTTATTTTTAATTTTTTTAGAGATAGGGCTGCAATGTGGTGGTGAAGTCCTAGCTCACTGCAGCCTTGAACTCCTGAGCTCAAGGGATCCTCCCATCTCAGCTTCCCAAGTAGTTGGGAGTACATGTGCATGCCACCATGCCTGGCTAATTATTTTTTGTGAAGACACAGGGTCTCACTTTGTTGCCCAGGCTGTTCTTAAATTTCTAGGCTCAAGTGATTCTCCTTCCTCAGCCTCTTAAAGTGCTGGGATTACAGGGGTGAGCCACCATGCCCAGCCAACATATTGTTATTTTAAATCTTTATCTTTTCTATGAAAGTGACAAAAGGTATATCAGGGATTAAATGACAATCCATACCTGTTTTTCCTAGGGGCTTTATGGAGAAAGTGAGTTTTAAAGAACCAGAATTAGGATATTTAGTCTATGGAAAGTTTGATGACCTTTTCTCTGTATTGGTTAGAAGGGCAGGTTTTGGTATAGTGGTAGACTCCATTGATTTCCAAATTCTAGATGCCAAGTGACTCTACTGAGTTGGGCAAAATTTTGCCTTTTTTTTTTTTTTTTTGAGATGGAGTCTCACTCTGTTGCCCAGGCTATAGTGCAGTGGTGCAATCTCGACTCACTGCAACCTCCACCTCCCAGGTTCAAGCAATTCTCCTGCCTCAGCCTCCTGAGTAGCTGGGATTACAGGTGCCCACCAGCATGCCTGGCTAATTTTTTGTATTTTTTTGTTGTTGTTATTGTTGAGACAGAGTCTTGCTCTGTTGCTCAGGCTGGATTGTGGTGGCGCGATCTTGGTTCACTGCATCCTCCACCTCCTGGGTTCAAGTACTTCTCCTGCCTCAGCCTCCAGAGTAGCTGGGATTATAGGCACTTGCCACCACCCCCGGCTAATTTCTGTATTTCTAGTAGAGACAGTGTTTCACCATGTTGGCCAGGCTGGTCTCGAACTCCTGACCTCAAGTGGTCCACCCTCCTCGACCTCCTAAAGTGCTGGGATTACAGGCGTGAGCCACTGCACCCAGCCTTGCCTTTTTTGTTTAATTCAAAATTCTTTTCCCATATGGTACCTGACATATCATTAAACATGTTACTGTTTTCAAATAAGATCAGATAGCTATGTGGAGTTTTGAACATTTTACATTGTTTGTTTTCTGGTTTTGTTTGTTTCATGTTACTCCTGGCAAGCTGTGATGTTTTCTGATACGTAGAGCAACTGCCATTTTTTAGCACAGTGTAAACTTGAAGGATGAATTAAATGTATTATTATTATTTACAGTTTTTTCAAGATGAAGTGATTATACCTAAGTAGGAACATATATATCTACTGTTTATATCCGTTTTCATGTTTAGTATCTTTGTGAACACCAGTTAGTTTTTAAATCTCCTTTCCCTGCTCTTTTTTTTTTTTTTTTTTTTTTAAAAAAGACTGGTTCTTACTCTGTCACCCAGGCTGGAGTGCAGTAGTGCAATCTTGGCTCACTGCAACTTCCGCCTCCTGGGTTGAAGCAATTCACATGCCTTAGCCTCCCAAGTAGCCGGGATTACAGGCATGCGCCACCATGCCAGCTCATGTTTTTGTATTTTCAGTAGAGATGGGGTTTCACCATGTTGGCCAGGCTGGTCTTGAACTCCTGACCTCAAATGATCCACCTGCCTTGGCCTCCCAAAGTGCTGGAATTACAGGTGTGAGCCACCGTGCCCGGCCACCTTTCCCTGCTCTTTAATCATGTAAATGCTGTGTTCTGGAGTTTCATTTGTCCACAAAGGAAAAGTCTAAATGTTTTAGAAATTAAGGTTGAAGTTTATGTTTATTTATTTATTTGAAACCTAAATATAGGGGAGGAATTCTCTTTTGGATGCTTGATCGTTCCCCTGCTTCAATATGATTTGTTTCATTGAACTAAAATGATCTCTCAGGGAATCTTCTGTGCAGCAGAATATTTTGACAAGGTTTATCAACGTCTCAAGAGAATGGTTAATATTAACATGAATAGCTCCATGTTTTTTTCTATTTTAGTCTTGCTGGTGGATGCCCTCCTTACTCCCCAATATATACGTCTTGGATAGACTGTTGGTGCATGCTACAAAAAGAGGTATTTCTTTTTCTCTGTCTCTCTCATTTTATTTTGTTTTATTTTTATTTATTTGTTTTCTTAAATATTGTCTCTGGAATCCCAAGTTAACTCTTGTAGCTCACTTTAGCTAGAGTTAGTCTAGTCTGCCAGTTAATGTACACTTTACAGTGTTCTGTGTTTTCACTTTGGCATAATAGTAAAATGTGATGTTTAGAAATCATGAGCAGGAGTAATGAAGAAGAAAGAATCCCTAGATGAGACCTAGAAGCCATTTGAGTGCCCACATTCAACTTACAAATACGATCCAGGTAGATTATTATCCTGGTAAAATGATGGCCTTGATTTTAGACTCTTTTTTTCCCCCAAACTCACCTTTCATAACCACTTATTTGTCACAGTGGTATTGACAGAGCTGGTCTTATACTTCTAGAGTCTTGTTAGTGGATGATTTTGCCTAGATACCAATTTAGGGTTTGTTATTACTATGAGGTGTATAATCTGCAACAAAAAATTATTTATTATCTAGGCAAAGCTTTATTGGAAAATAAAATAATGGGCTGGGTGCAGTGGCTCACGCTTATAATTCTAGCACTTCGAGAGGTCTAGGTGGGCAAATTGCTTGAGCCTAGGAGTTTGAGACCAGTTGAGGCAACATGATGAGACCTCATTGCTACAGAAAATACAAAAACTTAGCCAGGCATAGCACCTATAGTCCCAGCTACCCAGGAGGCTAAGGTGGGAGGATCACCTGAGCCCAGGAGGTCAAGGCTGCAGTGAGCCAAGATTGCATCACCGCACTTCAGCCTGGGTGACAGAGTGAGACCCTGTATCCAAAAAAGGAAAATAAAATAACGGCTAGGTATGGTGGCTCATGCCTATAGTTCCAGTTACTCAGGAGGCTGAGCCAGGAGGATCACATGAGTCCAGGAGTTTGAGGCCAGCCTGGGCAACACAGCCAGACGTGTCTCTTAACAAAAAACTACAGGCCAGGTGCAGTGGCTCACAGGTGTAATCCCAGCACTTTGGGAGGCCAAGGCGGGCAGATCACTTGAGGTCAGGAGTTTGAGACCAGCCTGGGCAACGCAGTGAAACCCCATCTCTACTAAAATACAAAAGAAATTAGCTGGGCGTAGCAGCGTGTGCCTGTAGTCCCAGCTACTGGGGAGGCTGAGGGAAGAGAATTGCTTTAACCCAGGAGGTGGAGGTTGCAGTGAGCCAAGATTGTGCCACTGCACTCCAGCCTGGGTGACAGAGCAAGACTCCATCTCAAAAAAAAAAAAAGACAATAACAACAACAAATGGATTGGCTGTGGGCTAAATTTAGCACAGGATCACTTAAAATGATTATCAGTTTAAAGCTGTTTTTGAAGGGGGGTCCACTTCTTAAAAGATTGTAGAAGAAAGCGTATAAAGAAGCTCTTTGTTGCATTATTTTATAGCACTAGTGATATATAAGAGAAAGGCCTTTGAAATCTGAATGAAAAGGCCTAAGTGTTGTTTGTAGTTGCTCTTGCTTAGTGTGCCCACAAAGCCCCTCTGTGAATCCAAGCTTGAATACTTGAATGATTTCAGTACAGACCTACTATGAACATTGTGCATTTCATTCTGAGTTTTACTCTCTATTGTACAGTGTGGTCCCTGTTTAAATGGAAAAAATGGCCTTTCCTTCCTTCCTTTTCTGACTAACACTCTGTTATAGGAAGAAAGCAGACAGAGAATGGATTACGGTGTCAAACACACTTAAAGTAGGAACAGTTGTTCCTGTAGGTGCTTACAACAACAGCAAATCTTGATTGGGCATTTACTGTATACCAGATATCATGCTAAGAGCTTTTCTTACATCAGCTCATGTAATCCTCAAAACAGCTGTGTGAGAATAGGTGTCATTCTTAATCACCCATTTCACATATGAAGAAACTGGGGCTTAGAGCAGTTTAGTGCCAATTACATAATGCAAGGTCACATGGCCTATATTTGGGAAGGCTCAGATTTATACTCCAGAGTGTACTCAGTTGCACTCAGAACATTATTACTTTATTTTTATTTACTTATTTGGTTCTTTATTTTTTAGAGACAAGCTCTGTCGCCCAGGCTGGTGTGCAGTGGTGGCATCACAACTCACTGTAGCCTCAAACTCCTGGGGTAAAGCAATCCTCCTACCTCAGCCTCCCAAGTAGCTAGGACTACAGGCATGCTTCCACCATGTCCTGTTAATTTTTTTGTTTTGTTTTGTTTTTGAGACAGGGTCTCACTCTGTCACCCAGGCTGGAGTGCAGTGGCATGGTATTGGCTCACTGCAACCTCTGCCTCCTGGCTGAGGTCTCTGGCTCAAGTGATCGTCCCACCTCAGCATCCCAGGTAGCTTGGACTACAGGCACATACCGCTAAGCCCAGCTCATTTTTTTGTTTTTTGTTTTTTGTTTTTTTTAATTTTATTATTATTATACTTTTAAGTTTTAGGGTACATGTGCACAACGTGCAGGTTTGTTACATATGTATACATGTGCCGTGTTGGTGTGCTGCACCCATTAACTCATCATTTAGCATTAGGTATATCTCCTAATGCTATCCCTCCCCCCTCACCCCTGTTTTTTGTTTTTTGTTTGTTTGTTTTTTTGTTTTGTTTTGTTTTGTTTTGTTTGAGACGGAGGCTTGCTCTGTCATCCAGGCTAGAGTGCAATAGCACGATCTTGGCTCACTGCAACCTTCACCTCCCAGGTTCAAGCAATTCCCCTGCCTCAGCCTCCTGAGTAGCTGGGATTACAGGTGTCCGCCACTACGCCCGGCTAATTTTTGTATTTTTAGTAGAGATGGGGTTTCACTATGTTAGTCAGGCTGGTCTCGAACTCCTGACCTCAGGTGATCTGCCTGCCTCAGCCTCCCAAAGTGCTGAGATTACAGGCGTGAGCCACCATGTCTGCCCAATTTTTTGTATTTTTTGTAGCAACGGGGTTTTGCCATGTTGTGCAGGCTGGTCTCAAATTCCTGAGCTCAAGTGATCCTCCTGCCTTGGTCTCTCAAAGTGCTAGGATTACCGGTGTGAACCATCACACCCGGCCTTTAATTTTTTAATTTCTTGTAGAGATGGGGTCTTGCTATGTTGTCCAGGTTGTTATTACTTTGATTATAAGATTTTATAAGTAGTCCTTAGAAACATGATTTCATTTCATTAAGAAATAAATAGGCCGGGTATGGTGGATCACACCCGTAATCCCTGCACTTTTGGGAGGCCAAGATAGGCGGATCACTTGAGGTCAGGAGTTTGAGACCAGCCTGGCCAATATGGTGAAACCCCACCTCCACTAAAAGTACAAAAATTAGCCAGGCACGGTGGCGCGTTCCTTTCCCAGCTACTTAGGAGGCTGAGGCAGGAGAATCGCTTGAACCTGGGAGGCAGAGGTTGCAGTGAGCCGAGATTGCACCACTGCACTACAGCCTGGGCAACAGAGCGAGACTCCATCTCAAAAAAGAAAAACAAAGAAATAAATGAAAGCTAGCACTTACTGAATGTTAGGCACTGTTCTACATGACTCATTTGCTAAGCCAGCTGGAAAGTGGCAAAGCCAGAATCCAACCTGGGCGTTCTGTCTGCCCAGAGTAAGAACTTAATAAGGAGAAATTGTAGTTAGTTCATAGTAGCTCAGCCTTTCAGAGAATACTAATCCTTGTTCTGTAGTGATAGTCCCAGTTTTGTCCTAGATTTAGTCACGTCTCCCAATTGGACCTCTCTGCTGATTTGGATTGGCTGATCTCATCTCGCTAGATATTATTTGTGTTTTGTTTTGTTTTGTTTTCCAGGGGAATATGAGCCGAGGAAATAGCTTATTTTTCCGGAAGGTCCCCTTTGGGAAGACTTATTGTTGTGACCTGAAAATGTTAATTTGAAGATGTGGGGCAGGGACAGTGACATTTCTGTAGTCCCAGATGCACAGAATTATGGGAGAGAATGTTGATTTCTATACAGTGTGGCGCGCTTTTTTAATAATCATTTAATCTTGGGAAAATTCAGGTGTTTGGTGTCTGCCTTTTTTGTTCTTTTTTCCAGCACAACATAACTTACCACTGATACTCCCCCTTTAGTTATTCTGAATTAGGATATTTTTGCTCCAAATTCTTATTTTACTTAACCAGAAGGGAAAAAAAGTTGTATTTTCCTGAAGCTACAGGCACTTTGTCATGTGATTTTTGAGTCTCAATTTAAGGCTTTGTAAAATGAAGAGTAGAATTCCAAGAAAAATGAGAAATAATTTTGTAAAACTTAACAAAATCACTAAATTAAACTATATGGGAGGTTATGAATTACTTTTTCTTGGGTAGACCCTAAAATGTCAGTAGCATGCACCAGAATCTGACTCCCATTATGCTTCTAAGCACATTTCATTGACCTTGTCTCTCATACTTCAAGAAAAGGACAGTACATTGCTACATTACCCTAGAAAGTCTGTGTGAGGATCTGCCCCTTCAGTCTGTTATTGCAAAGTAATAAAATGTCACCTACAGGGAGCCTCTGAGCCTACTCTAGTTCAAGAGGCTACCTGAAAAAAAATAAATAAGATAAAGGGTCAGCAACAACAAAGAAAAAGACAATTACAGAAAATAAGCAAGATTTGGAAAGGAAGTATAATGGCACTTTTTTCCTCAAAGGAAGTTCTTGTTTTCACATAAAATATGAAAAGCAGATCCTGCAGGAGTAACCCCCTTCTTTAAGAGCCAAGTATTTGCCAGTGCTTAAATTACACCATACAGTTCTAATTATATATAATCTTTTGTTCTTCAGTTTTTTGTTTTGTTTCCTTTTTGTTATTGTTGCCGAAGGTGAGTAGTTTTGCATTTCTGATGACAGCCTTGGAAAGTATATTTGTAACTCCATGTCTGGTAATGCCAACCCAAGTCGACATGGGTCTTAGGACACTGACCACCTCACATGCCATACCCTCAGTTAAGCATGTTAACATTTATAGGAGGAAAAAAATCACTTTGGGAGAAAATAAAATTCAACTCAAGCATAAAGCTTCTGTTTACTCAGGCCTTCTAAAAAGCAGGTTAAAATGCTCTAAAATGAGAAAGCCTGTGGTTTCACTTATTTATATAACTCACTGGGACATTGCCAAATGAGTAAGCACTTAATTCGCTGCTTCTGAGACTTCTCTGTCAAAACAGCCCCACTGATAATATTAGACAGAACGAGAATGCAGGGGTCTCTTCCCTCCCCTGGGGTTTAGGAAGCTCATGAGGAGCTCGGCTTAAAATGTCTTTGATGTCTCTTCCTTTGTCTCAAAAAGTAATGTCAATTTTATATACTATTTCAATATTACTATCTGCATTTGTTTTAATATAAAAATGTTTGCTGCCTACCTTTTTCTCCCAAAAAATCTTTAAGTAAAGATGATCTGGGAAAATGTGCCATGTTTATCCTGTGGCTTCTGTGAACTTTCATGCTTGCCTATTCCTAGTTGAGAAGCATGTCTGACTCTGATAACCAGTCTACCACCAGAGGACGCCAAGGCTTCAGTTTTTCCTGTGCAAGTTGGGTGGCTGAGAAATTTCTCCAAGGCCTAGGATTGCTCAAAATACTAGTCCAGCTGTTTCAGTCTTGCTGCATCCAAGCTAGAGGTCTAGTCAGAGTCCTATACCTATGATCCTCCATAATATCTTACTATAAGCTACTAACATAAAAGTCTAAAGATATTCAGGGGCTAGGAAATGCAGGTAGGTGCCATTAAGAAACACATGCGACCGGGCGCAATGGCTCATGCCTGCAATCACAGCACTTTGGGAGGCCGAGGCAGGTGGTTCACCTGAGGTCGAGAATTCGAGACCATCCTGACCAACATGAAGAAACCCTGTCTCTACTAAAAATAACAAAATTAGCCGGGCATGGTGGCACATGCCTGTAATCCCAGCTATGCGGGAGGCTGAGGCAGGAGAATCTCTTGAAACCCAGGAGGTGGAGGTTGCAATGAACTGAGATCACGCCATTGCACTCCAGCCTGGGCAACAAGAGTGAAACTCCCATCTCTTAAAAAAAAAAAAAAGAAAAAAAAAGAAACACATGCAAGAAATAATGAACTCAGTAAGTAATATGAACTTAGGCTGGTTGTGGTGGCCCATACCTGTAATCCTAACACTTTGGGAGGCTGAGGCAGGTGGATCACTTGAGGCCAAGAGTTGGAGACCAGCCTGGCCAATATATCTACTAAAAATACAAAAAAATTAGTCGGGCATGGTGGCACGCACCTGTAGTTCAGGAGGCTGAGGCAGGAGAATCGCTTGAACCTGGGAGCTGGAGGTTGCAGTGACCCAAGATTGTGCCACTGGGTGACAGAGTGAGACTCTGTCTCTTAAAAAAAAGAAAAAGAAAAGTAGGGGTTCTCTAGTAAGCCACTTGTGAAACTGGTTTTCCTTTGTGGTACCAAGCTAAGTTGCCACAAACTGTTCCTCTAGAGTATGTGGTGACCATTGAAACCTTGACTTAAGAAGAGTGTGGGGTGGGCTGGGGGCAGTGGATCACTTGAGTCCAGGAGCTCAAGACCAGCCCGGGCAACATGGTAAAACCCTGTCTCTATTTTTTAAAGAAATAAAGGGAGGAAAATTAGCTGGGCGTGGTGGCACATGCCTGTAATCCCAGCTACTTGGGAGGCTGAGGCATGAGAATCGCTTGAACCCAGGAAGCGGAGGTTGCGGTAAGCTGAGATCGTGCCATTGCACTCCAGCCTAGGCAACAAGAGTGAAACTGCATCTTAAAAATAAAGAAGGTATGGGTTTCCTGGAACTTTGGGGGATCATTATAAAAATACTAGGGTAAAAAAGCAACCTTAGTAATCCCAGCAATTTGGGAGGCCGAGGCGGGTGGATCATGAGGTCAGGAATTTGAGACCAGCCTGACCAACATGGTGAAACCCTGTCTCTACTAATACAAAAATTAGGCGTGGTGGCGGGCACCTGTAATCCCAGCTACTCAGGAGGCTGAGGCAGGAGAATCGCTTGAAATCGGAAGGTGGAGGTTGCAGTGAGCTGAGATTGCCCCACTGCACTCCCGCCTGGTCAACAAGAGTGAAACTCTGTCTCAAAAAAAAAAAAAAGCAACCTTAGGATGAAAGAAACATTCAACATAAGCCCTATATTCCATCATCTCTGTTACCTCAGCATACCTTGACTTAACTATAATTTCCTATTCTAGAAATGTCCTCCCCCTCTTGCCAGTGACATGTTTCTGTACTGTCAG
Source organism: Homo sapiens (assembly GCF_000001405.40). Taxonomy (NCBI): domain Eukaryota; kingdom Metazoa; phylum Chordata; class Mammalia; order Primates; family Hominidae; genus Homo; species Homo sapiens. Next base: position 43,318 of record NW_019805496.1, on the reverse strand, counting down.
ATTCAGTTCTAGTGCCATCTCTTTGTGAAGTCACTGAGAGTCCCAACTGGGTGAGAGGGCTGTGCCTTCAAACTCTCCCTCCTTCAGAGCATGTAATGATAGTACAAACTAACTGACAAAAACTACATCCAACACCAAGTTCATGTTTTATACAGCAGGAGCATTACTTCTCTCTGATTTGAAAATCTGTGGGGGAAAAATATATATTTAGTCCTTTAAAACAGGCCAACTAAAACAGCCTGCTTGGATAATATAGTGAGACCTTTTCTCAACACAAAAATTTAAAAATTAGCCAGGCTTGGTGGTGTGCACCTGTAGTGCCAGCTACACAGGAGGCTGAAGTGGGACGACTGGTTGAGTCCTGGGAGGTTGAGGCTGTACTGACCTATGGTCGCACCACTGCACTCCAGCCTAGGTGTCAACTGAGAGCCAAAAAAAAAAAAAAAAAAAAAAAAAAAAAAGCCTCACTGGGCTTTATAGAAAAGCTAGTGGGGTCGTGGCTGGTCTAAGTGCAGCAGTATTGCAACTAGTTGATCACAACCAGTTAACAGATTTTTTTTTCCTTCTCCCTTTCCACTGCTTCACTTAGCCTTTAAAATGTATATTAAAATAAAAGACTGGGTGCGGTGGCTCACGCCTGTAATCCCAGAACTTTGGGAGGCCGAGGTGGGCAGATCACTTGAGGCCAGGAGTTCGAGACCAGCCTGGCTAACATGGTGAAACCCCATCTCTACTAAAATTACAAAAATTAGGTATGGAGGCGCATGCCTATAATTCCAGCTACTTAGGAGACTGAAGCAGGAGAATCGCTGAAACCCAGGAGGTGGAGGTTGCAGTGAGCCAAGGTTGCGCCAACGTACTCCGGCCTGGGCAACAGAGCAAGACTGTCTCAAAGAAAAAAAAGAGGCTGAGGCAGGAGAATTGCCTCAACGTGGGAGGCGGAGGTTGCAGTGGGCAAAAATGGTGCCATTGCACTCCAGCCTGGGCAACAAGCAAAACTCCGTCTCAAAAAAAAAGAAAAAAGAAAAACTAGCTGGTCAAGTGGTAGTAATTGTAGGTGGTCATTTTAAGGTACTGTGGCAGATAAGGGAGCAAGACAGGAGAACAGATTGGTTAGTAGTGACTGCCAAGCCTGTTGTAGAAGTTCTAATTGTCATGATTTTTTGGTAGGATAGGCATCCTCGTTTTATGTGAGACTCTAATTAAGCAACTCACTCGAAATCATAGTCAGGAATTTTCAGGGCTGAATTCAAACCAGGGTCTATCAAATTCCAAGGTTTTTTTTTTTCCTTAATAATTCTTCCAGGACATGAAGCCAGTCGAGGCATTTTTATTCTTTCGTGGAGGCTATAAAATGCTAAAATTGTAGCCAGTAAACCACATTGTGTTTTTGTGTTTGTTTGTTTGTTTGTTTGTTTTTGAGACAAGGTCTCTCTCTGTCTTGCAGTGGCTGATCTCGGCTCACTGCAACCTCCACCTCCTGGGTTCAAGCAATTCTCGTTTCTCACTCTCCCAAGTAGCTGGGATTACAGGTGCATGTCACCACCCGCGGCTCATTTTTTTGTATTTTTAGTAGAGACGGGCTTTCACCATGTTGGCTAGGCTGGTCTTGAACTCCTGACCTCAAATGATCTGCCTGGGCCTCCCAAAGTGCTGTGATTACAGGCATGAGCCACTGTGCCCAGCCAAACCAAATGTTATGTAAGCCATCCATCTGAGGAAAGTGGGCCTGCATTTGTAGTCAAAGCAGTGAACAAGCTCCCAACAGAGTAGAATGGTCTTAAATAAGGAAAGACAGATCTTGCCTCTGCAGAATTATAAATAGCGGAAACAACTGAAAATAGAAATGATCACCATTACTTTTCTAGACTATTATGATGGTTTATATAGATGAAAAGCTAAGTTACTGTATGGCAAGGATTTCTTCCTAGAGAAGAAATCTTCCTAGAGGTACCATTAGTTCAGTGTAGTAGAACTCCTAAGACATTTGGCTGGTAACATTTCTTGAAACTGATCTATGTGTCAGCACCTCTACTGGGTGCTTCTAAAACATCCTTGCAGAATGGATGGGTTCATTCAGGCTGCCTCCCAAGGTGGCATGGTAGTTTCTATTTTGGCATTTTTGTTTTTGTTTTTTTAAATACAAAGATATTTGTCTTACCTCCTTTTCAGAGCTCTGTTTAGGCTTTCCTAAAGAAGTCACAAGTGCTGGGTGCAGTAGCTTATGCCTGTAATCCCAGCATTTTGTGTTTTTTTGTTTTGTTTTGTTTTGTTTGTTTTTGAGACAGTCTCAAAAACACTGTGCCCAGCCAATCCCAGCACTTTGGGAGGCTAAGGTGGGAGGATCACTTGAGTTCTGGAGTTTGAGACCAGCCTAGACAACATAGTGAGATCCTGTCTCTACTAAAACTAAAAAAAAAAAAATTAGCCAGGCATGGTGGAACACATCTGTAGTCCCAGCTACTTGGGAGGCTGGGGCCAGAGAAACCTGAGCCCAGGAGTTTGAGGCTGCGGTGAGCTATCATTGTGCCACTGCACTCCAGCCTGGGTGACAGAGCAAGATCTTGACTTAAAGGAAAAAGTCACATGTGACATCTCATTTTATATTTTTCCCCCTTCTATTCATCTCTCATCTTATTTTTCCCTTTAAACTTGAAAGGAGTCAGAATCTTGCACTCTGATTTTTGCCCTGGAGGGGAAGTTGCCAGTGAGAGATTCTTTTACCACCAACCAAAAATTAGCACTTCTTTTTTTTTTTTTTTTTGAGATAGGGTCTCACTCTGGTTGCCCAGGCTGGACTGAAGTGTAGTGGTGCAGTCTCAGCTCACTGCAGCCTCCACTTCCCAAGCTCAGATGATTCTCCCACCTCAGCCTCCCAAGTAGCTGGGATTACAAGTGTGCGCCACCACATCTGGCTAATTTTTTTTTTGAGATGGAGTCTTGCCCTGTTGCCCAGGCTGGAGTGCAGTGGCACGATCTCGGCTCACCGCAACCTCTGCCTCCCAGGTTCACACCATTCTGCGTCAGCCCCCAAGTAGCTGGGACTACAGGTGCCCGCCACCACGCCCGGCTAATTTTTTTGTATTTTTAGTAGAGACGGGGTTTCACTGTGTTAGCCAGGATGGTCTTGATCTCCTGACCTCATGATCCGCCCATCTCAGCCTCCCAAAGTGCTGGGATTACAGGCGTGAGCCACCGCGCCCGGCCCACACATCTGGCTAATTTTTTTTTGTATTTTTAGTAGAGACAGGGTTTGCTATATTGTTGCCCAGGCTGGTCTTGAACTCCCGGACTCAAGCCATCTGCCTACCTAGGCCTCCCAGAGTGCTGGGATTACTGGTGTAAGCCACTATGCCTGGCCAAAAAATAGCTTCTTTTCAGGAGACTATCTTGGCTAAGAATGAGGATTAATTTTCTAAAGTGAGTGAAAGTTTTCCTTCTATCCAATCTTCCCCATATGACAGCTTCCTCATACATTTGCTGTCTAGAGAGAGGTCCTAGGGAGACCCCTTCCAGTGCATGAGTTAAGTGTTCTGGTCGCCAGTGTCCCATGATTATAAGATGGAATTGCAAAGAGCCCATCTTGCCTTGGTCTAAGTAGAGTCCTCTGTACTCTGGGCACCAAATCTCTTGTCTGGAACTAAGCAGATTTTGCATGAAAACTGTAATTGCTCTGGAATCATCTTATTGCAACTCTGAAAAAGAATGTTTTTAAGTAGATTCCGATCAGTACCATACCACAATACGGTTAGAGGTTGGTACTTGAGAGAGTGGAAGAAGAGGAAGAGAAACCAGTGTGACCTGCAGATGTTATTCAGGACTCAGCAGCTTCCTGAGAGGCAGCAAATAAGGAAACAAATCTTGTCCTCTCTCCAAGTCTCCAAGATGACACGTGGACGAAAGAAAAGTTTGTAACACCAGCCTCTGCCTCGCCAAGGCAGCCAAGAGAATGGACTATTCCCTGGCAGTGCCACATTTCCATGGAAAATCTATTAGGTATTGCTTTTATTTCCACACAGAGTAGCATGAAGAGCCAGAGGTTGGATAAGGACAAGCCAGCACTGCACCTACTCTGGCTGGCCATCTAGCCGGGGCCCTGCCCTTCTGGCATCAGACTGGTGAGAGTGTCCTTTGGCTGGAAAAAAGACAGAGGGTGAAGATGGAAACAACAGAACCATGCCTCACCTCAGACTGCTCACTTTTTGCTGGAATCTCATGCCTTTCCTCCCCCTGAGGGGCTCACATTTAGAGTTTATAAATGCAACTGTCAGTCATTAAGTGAGTAGCTTGGGCAGAGTTCTGTGCGAGGGGCAGCAGAGGATGCAAAGGCCTATAATCTCCCTGTCCTCTTTGGCGCTTACTGTCCACTGACAGGGAGGCAGAATGACAAGAACATAAAACTCTAGGAGTATTGGAGGATTAAGTGAAACCATATGTACAACAGTGAGGCCTGGTGCCCTGAAAGAAGGTATTCGTTGAAGCTCTTTTAACACTCTCTGATGATGGTTCTACAAAGCAGGATACGGCATGAGAAGCCGGAACCAAGCACCATGGGATGCACAGAGAGAAAGCTTACATCCATTTGGGGAGATCAGAGACTTCATGAAGAAGCGGCTCCGATTGTGGCTTTGTCAGGATAGTGGGGATCTTGGGTGGCAGGATGATGGGATGGCAGCAATTTCTAGCTGTCACTAGCTGTGAGACCTTGGGAAAGTTGGTCATTTTAAGCCTCAGGCTCCTCATGTCTAGAATGCAAAGTAATACTCATTACAGTTTTCTTTTCTTTTTGAGACGGAGTTTTGCCCTTTCGCCCAGGCTGGAGTGAAGTGGCTCGATCTCGGCTCACTGCAACCTCTGCCTCCTGGGTTCAAGTGATTCTCATGCCTCAGCCTCCTGAGTAGCTGGGATTACAGGCACGTGCCATCACACCCGGCTAACTTTTGTATTTTTAGTAGAGACGGGGTTTTGCCATGTTACCCAGGCTGGTCTCAAACTCCTGACCTCAGGTGATCCACCCTCCTCGGCCTCCCAAAGTGCTAGGATTACAGGGATGAGCCACCATGCCCACCCTAGAGTATTAGATTTAGTACCATGTCTGGCATAGAGTAAATATTTGGTATGTGATAGTTATTAGAATTTTAAGAATTAGAAGGGAGGGGCTACTTTCCAAGTATAGACAATAATATGGGCAAAGTTACGGCGTTAGTAAAGGCTAAAGCATTTGGAGGCAAGTGGAATTGCATCTCTTACTGTCCTAACCTTTCTTCAAAGCTGGATTTCTGCCATATAATGAGCACCTAGAACAGGGACTGGCACATGGTAGAGACTCCACAGATGTGTGTTGAACAAAGTCAGCTGCCTCCTAGCTGTATCCACTGAATATCCACTGAATGTCCTTGAGGATCCCCAAACTGAGTTACATCTCAAGCCCTCTTCCCAAGCCTGTGGTGGTACTTGCACTCTAAATTCTATTATAAACACAGCATTATGCCCCTATTCCCCAAGCTAGAAACCCTGGAGATGAGTTTGTGTCCTCCCTACCCCTCCCTCTGCTTCTAGAAAATCACTGCTGGATTCTCAGAAACGCCTCTGAATTTGTCACCTCCCTTTCTTTCCCGTCGCCTTTAGGCATCATCTCTGCTCAGCTGTTGCTGCAGCCTCTATCTTGTCTTCCTGCTGCCAGCTCAAGGCAGTAGGCAGTAGATAAAGCTGGAGTTCTACCATCTTTGACCAGGGTACAGAGGATGGCCATGACTCTCCTCTACCTACACAGGCTTCTGGCAGAGGATAAAATACTGCTTTTTGACCCAGGTTTCTTAAGATTTCTTTTCTTCTCTTTTCTTTTTTTTTTTTTTTTTTTTTTTTTGAGACAGAGTCTCGCTCTGTCACCCAGGCTGGAGTGCAGTGGCACGATCCCAACTCACTGCAACCTCCGTCTCCCGGGTTCAAGTGATTCTCCTGCCTCAGCCTCCCTAGTAGCTGGGATTATAGGCACCTGCCATGATGCCTGGCTTTTTTTTTTTTTTTTTTTTTTTGATACAGAATCTCACTCTGTCGCCCAGGCTGGAGTGCAGTGGCACAATCTTGGCTCACTGCAACCTCCACCTCCCAGGTTCAAGCAATTCTCCTGCCTCAGCCTCCCAAGAGTAGCTGGGATCACAGGTGCCTGCCACCACATCCGGCTAATTTTTTGTATTTTTAGTAGAGACGGGGTTTTGCCATGTTGCCCAGGCTGGTCTCAAACTCCTGACCTCAGGTGATCCGCCCGCCTCGGCCTCCCAAAGTGCTGGGATTATAAGCGTGAGCCACCGCGCCCGGGCTCCTTGAGATTTTTTTTTCTTTTTTCTTTTTTTTTTTTTTTTTTTTTTGAGACAGAGTTTTGCTCTTGTTACCCCAGCTGGAGTGCAATGGCGTGATCTCAGGTCACCGCAACTTCCGCCCCCCAAGTTCAAGGATTCTCCTGCCTCAGCCTCCCAAGTAACAGGGATTATAGGTGTGCACCACCACACCCTACTTTTTTTTTTTTTTTTTTTTTGAGACAGAGTCTTGCTCTGTCGCCCAGGCTGGAGGGCAGTGGCACGATCTCGGCTCACTGCAAGCTCCGCCTCCCGGGTTCACGCCATTCTCCTGCCTCAGCCTCCCAAGTAGCTGGGACTACAGGTGCCCACCACCACGCCCGGCTAATTTTTTGTATTTTTAGTAGAGATGGGGTTTCACCATGTTAGCCAGGATGGTCTTGATCTTCTGACCTCATGATCTGCCTGCCTCAGCCTCCCAAAGTGCTGGGATTACAGGCATGAGCCACCGCAATCGGCCAAGATTTCTTGACCTAGCGTCTTTAATCCTTCCGCCCCAAGCCCACATGCAGCCCCAGTTCCCCAACAGCCTCTGCTCTGTACATTTGTGCCGCACTGGCAGCTGCTCTCTGTGTCTGTTGTCTTCCACGGAAGCCTTGTGCAGGAGGAGCTGAGCTGAGAGACAGGGCTATTTATAAATAGAAAGTGGGTGTAAAGTTCTGCAGTCACAAGTGTTTTAAACAAGACTAATTCCATCATCTCCCCCAATCGAACTTTGAAATTTCTGTCCACCTCCTCATCTCCCATCTTTCTCAAAAGCCTGCAAGTTCTTCTCCTCTCCTTGGTCAAAGCCACCATAAGCCTGGATACCATGGTAGCTAAGAGATGTGACATGGAACAAAGTGTAGGAATTATATAGATTCAGCATAGTCAGAGTCAAAGCTACTGACATAACATAAATGTTCCTACCACCTAGTAATATTTAGTGATGGCTCACCATGTGCCCTGCCCATGTCGCCATTAGCTCCAACCCATAAAACAGCCATATAAGCTAAATACTGCTCCCATTTTAGTAGTGGAAAAGTGAGACTCAGAAGGGTTCATTGATTTGCCCAAGACTGGTGGTAAATAGCAAAGCCCAGATTCTGATATGGGTCTGCAAATCTGGAATTTCTAATATGGCACGCACATGCATTGCGTCCCAGTATTTTTCTGCATGATGATCGGAGCACAGATTTTAACGAAGAGTGAAGTATGAATCTTAATGAGAGGAGGGAACTCGTGGTTTTATTATAATAATGAAAGGATCAACATTGTATGCTCAACAGTTAGTTAGATGCCCAGAAGCCCAACTCAAACTGGCTACATTGGCTCAAGTAATAAAAATGGCCAGTGGTGAATCTGGGGGTTCAAACAAGGGCATCGGGATTCGGTCTTCCCACCCCTCGGCTGGTTTCCCTCTCCGACGGGCTCTCCACATGGCAACAAGATGCCAGCTGGCAGCTCCACTCACATGGCTTCTTAGAGCTTGTGATTCCAGAGAAAGAGCAAAATCACTTTGGAGAGCTCCAGCAAAAATCCCCAGGAGGACTCTGGCTTGAAACACACACCCATCTGTAAAGCATTTGGTGTGTCTGGGAGACGCTAGCCAGGCCTGAGTCACAGGCCCATCTGAAGGGGTAGAGGTCCAGGGTCAGCCCCAGAACCACATACATTCTGCTGTTCTGTTCTGTTTCCTGTCCTCCGCCCCCACACTCTTCTCAGAGCTGGACTGTTTTCTAGTGGGATGCATGGCTCATCCAAGGAAGGTTCACTGGGCAAAGACATACATTACACCCTGTCCAAAAGAAACAGTTTTAATAGAAAGGGAAAAAAACAACAGTTCACCCAGAACATGTGACACGTGAGACTCCATGAAGCTAAGCTGAGCACAGAAGCTGGTGTGTTTGAAACCTTCCATGCACAGGTACATACATATGTCAGCTCAATCACCCCATGAGCCTGATAATAGCCACTTTTTCTCACTTTTTAAGTGAGAGAAATGGAAGCTCAGAGATAAAGATTTAAGTGACTTGCTAGTAAATAGCAAAACTAGAATGCAAACCTGGGTATATTGGAGTCCACATCCTGCAAGCTTTACACCACAGCACACTGCCAAATTGGAGGAAACCAGGTGTTGAGGGTGAGACTGCTAGATGAGCTCGTGGAAGTCGTGTCCCCAGGGAAGCACACATCTGACTGCCTGACGTGCTCTGAGAGCAGCAGGCACTGAGCTGGAGACTGCCCTGTCCTGGTAACTACAGTCTCGCCCAGCTAGTCGCTGAGTGGCTGATAAACTCTTCACATTCATCAATGACAGTTTCCTCTCAGCTGGAAGAAAAAGCTGCCAGGGAGCTGCTCCCCCAACCTTCCTTCTGATGGGGAAAGACTCCCCTGGTGCTGTTGATGAGACAGGAACCAAAGGAGAAAGTTGGATTTGGAAGGAAGGGCATGTGGGCATGGGATGAATGGATGATTGGATAAATAAATAATCCCAGAAAAATGATTTGAAAAGTTAGAAAAAAGTTATGATTCTAAGTTTAGAGACAAGATGGCAATATGGCACAAGAGGGATAGGAAGCTCTGGGATAAATTAGGCTATCGCATTTGCTGAAAATCCCTGTGCAGAGAAAAGGAGAGCCAAAGAAACCAGTGTGGCTCTGTAGAGAGCTCTCTGATAAGTTCAAAATTTAAAAGGTGGGGTACAAGAGACGGAAGGAAAGGTGAAGTCCGTGATAAACTGAGACTTGGAAAAGGTGCAGACAATAAAAGATATTGCTGGTTATGTTCAAGCAAGAGGAAAAAGGAGAAGACAGGGTTCCATCTGGGGATGAAGATGTCAGGTTGGCAGTTTTCAGAGAAAGCAGAATACTCAACTCTGATTTTCCTCTTTCTCCCCCGAGGAAAAGCACTTCCAGACTGGGAAGAGTTCAGCAAAACAGGGGTTAGAGGACATTAAACCCCAAATAGAAGAAAAGATAAGAGAAAACCTAACCACCTAGCCATTCAAAATGAGCTGCAAATCCCAAGGTGATGACAGACCTTTGCAGATAAGATCCAGGGACCTTTGCCAATGTGGCTATGAAAGCTGCGGCGAAAAGGACAGGGGCCACAGTCCTGGACAGCTGCAAATACCCTGACAAAAAAGAAGAAAAGGGAGATCCTGGGCACATTTCCCTCAAAATCTATTCTAGAATATAACATTAAACCATGGATTTGAGAACACCTTGCTTGAGAACACCTAGAAAAATAAGTGGTATCTTCACAAAGAACAAGATGCGGCGAAAATGATAAAAATATCAACAATAATTTGTTACTTATTTACTCAGAAGGCCACTAGGAAAATTCCTTGGGCCATACATAGTGTTCCTTGTTTCCAGTTAGACATTGATTGTCTCACGATTGAAGAGGCTAGTAGGAAAATATCGATCTCAGAGACTGCCCAGTCAGGTGGATTCATGTAACTGCTGTGCTCCTTCACCCCAGTTGGTTATCCGATTGCTGCAGAGCTTGCTGAGGAAGTATCTCTAGTTCTGTGCTCCTAGACCCTGGTCAGCCTAGTAGTGGTCAGTGCCCACTACACTTGCCAAATTTGCAGAAGGCACCACTGTTGGGATGAAAAGCTAATATTTCAAAGTCAAGATTCTAAAATAACTTGAAACAGTGGGCTGAAACCAGCAGGATGAAATTTAAAAGAGTAAGTGGAGAGACCTGCATTTAGATTAAAAAAAAAAAATCAGCTGCATAAGCATAGGATATAGGAAGTTTGGTTTGCCAGAGGTGCCTGAGAAAAAGGCTAAGGGCTTGCAGCTGATCTCAGGTTGAATAGAAACCGGTAGGAATGGAGCAGCTGCTTAAAAAGATAGTGGCTCTCCCCACCTCTTGTTATTTTAGTTACAAAGGGGTGAAACAGTGAAAAATATGGGAGACAGCCGGGCACGGTGGCTCACACCTGTAATCCCAACACTTTGGGAGGCCGAGGCGGGCGGATCACGAGGTCAGATCTAGACCATCCTGGCTAACCCGGTAAAACTCTGTCTCTACTAAAAATACAAAAAAATTAGCCAGGCGTGGTGGCAGGCGCCTGTAGTCCCAGCTACTCGGGAGGCTGAGGCAGGAGAATGGCGTGAACCTGGGAGGCGGAGCTTGCAGTGAGCCAAGATCTCGCCACTGCACTCCAGCCTGGGAGATAGAGCAAGACTCCGTCTCAAAAAAAAACAAAAAAAACAAAAAAGAAAAATATGGGAGACATATTAACAGCAACTGCTGTTAATGGTTTCTAATAGATCCCCTCAGAGGTATTCATTCCAAGTACACATAAGCAAATGCATGCTTTTTATTTTTTCACATAAATGGTGGTATGTTGTGCACCTTGTTTTTTATTTCACTTAACTAACAGCATTTCTTAGCGATTATTTCATCAGTATACAAAATGATTCCTCATTCTTTTGTAGGGATGCATCGTATTCTACTGTATATATGTATCATAATTTATTGGTCCTTTTGCCGGACATGTAGATTATTTCCAGTATTTTGCTATTACAAACAATGCTGCAATAAATAACACGTCATTGCTATTACAAACTGTTTGCTATTACAAGCCATGCTAAAATGAATAAGATGTAATTCCCAACAAGTGGGCATGTATCTGAAAAACATCTCTTCAAGAAGTAAAATCACTGACTTAAAGGGCATGCACATTTTTAAACTTGGTAGATACTGTCCAATTGTGTCATTTTACCCTCCTACTAAAAATGTATGAATGTCTGTTTCTCTACATCTCACCAATAGAATGTATAATAAACCTCATTGATCTTTGACAGTTTGAGAGGTAAAAATAATAACAATAGCATCTTATAATTTTTTTTTTTTTTTTGAGAGAGAGGGTCTTGCTCTATTACCCAGGCTGGAGTGCAGTGGTGCAATCATGGCTCACTGCAGCTTCAACCTCCTGGGATCAAGCAATCCTCCCACTTCAGCCTCCTGAGTAGCTGGAACTATGCGTGTGTGCGACCAAGCCCAGCTAATTTTTTTCTTTTTTTTTTTTTTTTGTGGAGACGGGGTTCTCACCATGTTGCCAAGGCTGGTCTCGAACTCCTGGCCTCAAGTAATCCTCCCACCCTAGGGCTCCCAAAGTGTTGGGATTACAGACATGAGCCACCACGCCCAGCCCACAATACTTATAAGTTTGGTCTGACAGGATTGGCATCGGCATCCCCTGGCTTCCAGAATAAAGTCTGGATGGCATAGGCTGGCACTTGAAATCCTTCATGAGACTGGGTGTGGTGGTTCAGGCCTGTAATCCCAGCACTTTGGGAGGCCAAAGTGGGCAGATCACCTGAGGTCCGGAGTTCGAGACCAGCCTGATCAACATGGAGAAACCCCGTCTCTACTAAAAATACAAAATAAGCCAGGCGTGGTGGCACATGCTTGTAATCCCAGCTACTCAGGAGGCTGAGGCAGGAGAATCTCTTGAACCCGGGAGGCGGAGGTTGCAGTGAGCTGAGATCACACCATTGCACTCCAGCCTGGGCAAGCAGAGTGAAACGCTGTCTCAAAAAATAAAAATAAATAAATAAAAAATCCTTCATGATTGGATTCAACCACATTTTTCTGGGCCTATCTCCCATCAGTAGCTCCACATTCCATACTGCAGCCACACCGATATTATTACTCATTTTTCAAACACACCAAACAGTAGTAACAGCCAACACATACTGAGTGCTCACAGTATACCAGTCTCTGTGCTAAATGTCTTTAATCCTTGCAGCAATGGGGCATACTTTTATTATCCCCATTTCACAGGTGGGGAAACAGGTCATACAAATAATGAAGAAGCTGGGATTCAAACTGAAGCAGTCTGATGCCAGACACTACTCTTCACCATGATTCTGAATTGCCTAAGAGCGTTACCTCCTGCTCCCTGCTCCTTTCTCCCAGAATGCTCTTCAGTCTATTGTTACCTGTCAAAGTCCAGTGCAGCCTTCACTGCTTCGTTTAGGTGTTACCTCTCTGATTAAGCCTAGCTGCATTGCTCCACTTAGAATTAATTTCTCTTCCTAATTTCCACCCAGCCCACAAGGAATGGAGTGCAGGTGTGCCATCTTGGCTCACTGCAGCCTCCACCTATTGGGCTCAAGTGATCCTCCCACACTTTCTGGTTTGTATTTCTGCCTACTCTTTTAAAAACTGAGGGGGCACCCCGGCCAGGCGCGGTGGCTCAAGCCTGTAATCCCAGCACTTTGGGAGGCTGAGGCGGGCGGATCACGAAGTCAGGAGATCGAGACCATCCTGGCTAACATGGTGAAACCCCGTCTCTACTAAAAATACAAAAAATTAGCTGGGCGTGGTGGCGGGCGCATGTAGTCCCAGCTACTCGGGAGGCTGAGGCAGGAGAATGAACCCAGGAGGCGGAGGTTGCAGTGAGCCGAGATCGCGCCACTGCACTCCAGCCTGGGCGACAGAGCAAGACTCCGTCTTAAAAACAAACAAACAAACAAAAAACTGAGGGGGCAATGATAAATTGCTATAAGCCTCTCCCTGCCCCCTTCCCTCCTCCTCCAGCAGTTACTCAACTGGGTTGTAGATTATGTTTACATTCAAGTTGTCTCACCAGTCACTCAGGACTCTTCTGACCTACACTCTGGCAGGCACTACACTGGGGTGAACACAGACAAAGCAATTCAACACAACCCCTCACCAGTCAGAATCAGAATGTGACCAGACGTAGTGGCATGCACCTATAATCCCAGCTCCTTGGGAGGCTGAGGCAGGAGGATTGTGTGAGCCTAGGAGTTCAAGGCAGGCGTGGGCAACAAAGTGAGACCCTGTCTCAAAAAAAAAAAAAAAAAAAAAAGCTGGCCGGGCAAGGTGGCTCATGCCTGTAATCCCAGCACTTTGGGAGGCCGAGGTGGGTGGACACTTTGGGAGGCCAACGCAGGTGGATCAAGAGGTCAGGAGTTTGAGACCAGTCTGGCAAAGATGGTGAAACCCCGCCTTTACTAAAAAAATACAAAAATTAGCCGGGGGTGCAGTGGTGGGCACCTGAAATCCCAGCTACTTGGGAGGCTGAGGCAGGAGAATTGCTTGAACCCGGGAGGCGGAGGTTGCAGTGAGCCGATATTGCGCCACTGTACTCTAGCCTGGGCAACAGAGCAAGACTCTGTCTCAAAAAAAGAAAAGAAAAGAAAAGAAAAGAAAAAAAGCCACAGGGCTTCTCTCTGTTACTCACCTTGGCAGGACACAGCCTTCCTTTTCTCCCTTCCTGCAGGCCATGGAGACCCAAACACTGTCTCCTGCCAGTGCCAATACTACCACTGTTTCAGCTCACAGAAGAGTGGGTTTTTTCTCCAACCTCTCCAATTGAAAAGCTGACTTTTGTCCCCAAAGATGTGCAGATCTTGGTGTCAATGTGCAGCATTCCATAGCCAGACATAGGATTTGGGTCTCCTGTCAGTCTGGAGTTATTTGTGCCTCCAATGTCTTCTGCTAACATGGGTCAAGGAGAACATGCAACAACAGTTCAGGGAATGAGCCTGGGTATGGGGAGAAACTTGGTGGCTGTCCTGCATCTTCAGCCAGTTTTGATCAGGTCTGGTTACCCCAGTGTTCCAACTCTCTGTTGCTACAGTAACCCAAAACTTACTGGTTTAAAACAGCAACAGTCGGCTGGGCGCGGTGGCTCACACCTATAATCTCAACACTTTGGGAGGCCGAGGCAGGTGGATCACTTGAAGTCAGGAGTTCAAGACCAGCCTGGCCAATACGGTGAAACCCCGTCTCTACTAAAAATACAAAAAAAATTAGCCGGGTGTGGTGGCAGGCGCCTGTAATCTCAGCTACTCGGGAGGCTGAGGCAAGAGAACTGCTTGAACCCGGGAGGCAGAGGTTGCAGTGAGCTGAGATCGTGCCACTGCACTCCAGCCTGGGTGACAGAGTGAGATTCCGTCTCAAACAAACAACAACAACAAAAAGCCCAGCAACAATCATCTTTATTCCTTGTGGGTCTGGTGGAGTACTAGGTTCAGCTAGGCAGTTCTCATTCAGGGCCGCTCACACAGTTGCAGTCAGAGGCCAGGCCTGGTGTCCTCTTGAAGGCTTCCTCACATCCACATCACTTGCAGTGATGCTGGTACCGCAGCTGGGGCCAGGGCCAGCTTCGTGGCCCCACAACTTGCATGGCTGAGCAAGGTGCCACACTTGGAAGAGCCATATGCTTGGTTTAAAGCTCTAAATTCTTAACTTTTTAACAGTACCCTCCACCTTCTTTTTTTTTTTAAGACAGGGTCTTGCCCTGTCGCCTAGGCTGGAGAGCAGTGGTGCAATCTCGGCTTGCTGCAACCTCTGCCTCCCAGGTTCAAGCGATCCTCATGCCCCAGCCTCCCGAGTAGCTGGGACCACAGGTGAGTGCCATCATGCCCGGCTAATTTTTTTTTTTTTTTTGAGATGGAGTCTTGCTCTGTTGCCCAGGCTGGAGTGCAGTGGTGCGATCTCGGCTCACTGCAACCTCTGCCTCCCAAGTTCAAGCGATTCTTCTGCCTCAGCCTCCTGAGTAGCTGGGATTACAGGCACGTGCCACCACACCTGGCTAATTTTTGTATTTTTAGTAGAGAAGGGGTTTCACCATGTTGGTCAAGCTGGTCTCGAGCTCCTGACCTTTGGTGATCCACCCGCCTTGGCCTCCCAAAGTGCTGGAATTACAGGCGTGAGCCACCACACCTGGCCACTTTTTGTATTTTTTTTTTAGAGACGGGGTTTCGCCATGTTGGCCAGGCCAGTCTCAAACTCTTGGCCTCAAGTGATCTCCCTGCCTTGGCCTCCCAAAGTGCTGGGATTAAAGGCATGAGCCACTGTGCCCAGCCACTCCACAATTTCATTTTGCACTGGACTCTGCAAATGATGTAGCTGGTCCTGACTAGGACTGTTGGCCACAATATTTACACGTGGCCTTTCCATGTGACCTAGGCTTCCTCACAGTCTGATGGCTGGGCTCCAGGGATGAGGGTTTCAAGAGAGAGATCCAGGCAGCAGCGGCATCACCTTTCAATGACCTAACGTAACTCCTCCTTTTCATGAGGACTGGCAAGGTCACATTGTAAGAAGAGCAAGTGGGATGGGAGATGACACTGTCGCATTTGAAAATGCAATTTGTCACATCAGGTCATGAGCAGGTCACCTCCTGGTCCATCTGCAGAAGGGGCCCAGGGGATTCAGTTCTGCCTTCTAGGAAGGCCAGTGTTGGGATCTTAGAGCCCTGCTGGGAAAAAGGCCAGGGGAGAGTTGGGAACTTGGTCTTCACAAGCACTCCCAGCTTCCCCTCTCCGGGGTCATTTACCAAGTGCTCAGAGGAATTGGAACCAAGGGCAATGGGGCCAGGAGCGTGACCAGGAACCCTAAAGTCTGCTCCCCTGGAGGGCTGAAATCTCCGAGAAAGGCAGGGACTCAGCGCCCAGACGTATGTTTCTCCTGCTGGCATCTCTGCTTGGCTAACATTCCTCCTCTTTCATTTCTCCCTGGGGCATGTTGTTGTCTTTCTCATTAATTTCCCCTCAACTCCCAGCAAGGTCCCTAGACTGTGAGCTTTGCTAATTCCCTGTAATCCACTGGCAAAGCAGGAAGCTAATTAAATTGTGAGCTGTGTGCTCACTCTGTCAGTCTCTGAATCTCTCTTCTCAGTCCCTCTCCCATCTGTCTCTTCCTTTCTCACTGCCCCTGGATAGTTTACTTTCATCTGGACACTTTCAGTATCTTCTCACCCATCTGCCTTCCTCTCCCCTCTTCTTTCTCCTGCTTTTCAATCTGCAGAGTAATCTTCTTAAAATACAGCTTTGAGCACACCTTCTTCTCCTCTACTGTAAGGTAAAAGCTCCTTAGCTCAGCAGTTAAGCCCCACACTCCTTACCATAACTTCCCATCACAAACCCTTATCCACAACCAAGCCTGGTACATTTCCTTCCCTAAGCTCCACCTACGCCACCTCCTCACCTTGGTTCACATTCTTATCTTTGACTGGATCCCACCCCCTCACTCCTCCATCTCCACTTCCATCTCACCCTGTCAAAATCCTCACCATTATTTAGAAAGAGCCTCTTCAGGCCGGGCACGGTGGCTCACGCCTGTAATCCCAACACTTTGGGAGGCCGAGGTGGGTGGATCACGAGGTCAGGAGATCGAGACCATCCTGGCCAACACGGTGAAACTGTCTCTACTAAAAATACAAAAAAACTAGCTGGGTGTGGTAGTGCACACCTGTAGTCCCAGCTACTCAGGAGGCTGAGGCAGGAGAATCGCTTGAACCCAGGAGGCAGAGGTTGCAGGGAGCTGAGATCATACCACGCACTACAGCCTCTGTCTTAAAAAATAAAAATAAAAAGGCTGAGAGAGAATCAGAGAAAGGGAGGCTGCAGAGTATACTGGTTAAGGACTGGGTTTGGGAGCCAGATAGCTCTGAGTTTAAATCCTACTCCTGCATTAACTTTTCTGATCCAGAAGGGACACATGGCCCTAAGAAGGGCTGCATGGCCCTAAGAAGGGTTGTGGCTGCCCTAGGTTGGCTTCCAGCCTTCCCCAGCTCTCCTGCGGCATCCCTGTGTGGCTCATCCCACCCTTACCATGCCTCTTGTCTTCCCCATAGTCTTGGGGCCCAAGCTTTTCAAGCTGGTGAAGGAGAGAGTTGTGATCCCAAGAAGCGGAGTGAGCGAGCGGGGAAATGAGACAAAGAGAGGAAACAGAATAAAGTGCACAGATAGGCCGGGCGCAGTGGCTCACACCTGTAATCCCAGCACTTTGGGGGGCCAAGATGGGTGGATCACGAGGTCAGGAGATCGAGACCATCCTGGCTAACACAGTGAAACCCCATCTCTACTAAAAATACAAAAAAAAAAATTAGCCGGGCGTGGTGGCGGGCGCCTGTAGTCCCAGCTACTCAGGAGGCTGAGGCAGCAGAATGGCGTGAACCCGGGAGGCGGAGCTTGCGGTGAGCCAAGATCGCGCCACCGCACTCCAGCCTGGGCGACTGAGCGAGACTCCGTCTCAAAAAAAAAAAAAAAAGCGCACAGATACCAGTGGGTTTTCACCATGGAGAACTTAACTCTGCTGGAGTCTCTCTGAGTCTGAAACATGACCTGGAATTGGGAATTGGAATGCTCCCATCGAGGGACCAGAAAGCTGGGGTATTTACCCCTAACTCTGGACCATTGGCTGATGGTTGCTCTGGGGGTATTAACTCTACAGCCCTTTGGGCCTGCCCCACACTAACTCCCATAGCTGAAAATGCCCTCAGGAGGGACACAGGAAGTAGGCGCCTGGTCAGGAACTGTCTGTGGGTGCCCTCCTGGTAGGCCTGGAGGTGTGGGTGGGCCACTGACAGCATCTACTACACTCAGTGAAAGGAACCTGCTATTAAAATTATTGTTGTTGGCTGGGCACCGTGGCTCACGCCTGTAATCCCAGCATTTTGGGAGGCCGAGGCAGGTGGATTACTTGAGGTCAGGAGTTCAAGACCAGCCTGGCCAACGCCATCTCTACTAAAAATACAAAAATTAGCCTGGTGTGGTGGCATACGCCTGTAATCCCAGCTACTCAGGAGGCTGAGGCAGGAGAATCACTTGAACCCAGGAGGCGGAGGTTGCAGTGAGCCGAGATCGCACCATTGCATTCCAGCTTGGGTGACAAGAGTGAAACTCCATTTCAAAAAATAAAAATAAATAAAAATTATTGTTGTTTATTAGCTGCCACGTGGTGGCAGGCTGACGGGGGAGGATCACTTAAGCCCAGGCTGCAATGAGCCAAGATCGTGCCACTGCACTCCAGCCTGGGTGACAGAGTAAGAACCTATCTCAGCCAGGCGCAGTGGCTCACTCCTGAAATCCCAGCATTTTGGGAGGCTGAGGCGGGCGGATCACCTGAGGTCAGGAGTTTGAGAACAGCCTGACCAACATGCAGAAACTCCATCTCTACTAAGAATACAAAATTAGCCAGGGTGGTGGTGCATACCTGTAATCCCAGCTACTCAGGAGGCTGAGGCAGGAGAATCACTTGAACCTGGGAGCGGGAGGTTGCGGTGAGCCAAGATTGCTCCATTGCACGCCAGCCTGGGCAACAAGAGCAAAACTCCATCTCAAGAAAAGAAAAAAGAACCCGTCTCAATTTATATATATTTTAATGTTAATTTTTTTAACTTTTTTTTTAAGTGATGGGGACAGCTGGGCGCGGTGGCTCACGCCTGTAATCCCAGCACTTTGAGAGGCCAAGGCGGGCGGATCACGAGGTCAGGAGTTCCAAGACCAGCCTGACCAACATGGTGAAACCCCGTCTCTACTAAAAATACAAAATATTAGTCGGACATGGTGGCGCGCTCCTGTAATCCCAGGTACTCAGGAGGCTGAGGCAGGAGAATCGCTTGAACCCGGGAGGCGGAGGTTGCAGTGAGCCAAGATCGCAGCATTGCACTCCAGCCTGGGCAACAGAGCGAGAGTCTGTCTCAGAAAAAAAAAAAAAAAAGAGAGAGAGAGATGGGGTCTCACTCTGTTGCCCAGAGTGGTCTCAAACTTCTGAGCTCAAGCGATCTTCCCACCTTGGCCTCCCAAAGTGCTAATATCATAGGCGTAAGCCACCATGCCCAGCCATACCCGTCTCAATTAAAAAATAAATAAAATAATTGTTGTTTAAGACCAGCCTGGGCAACAGAGTGAGACCTCGTCTCTACAAAAAATTTTAAAAAAAATTAGCCAGGCATGGTGACCTGCACCTGTAGTCCCAGCTACCTGGGAGGCTGAGGTGGGAGAATCACTTGAGCCCGCAAGGTCAAAGCTGCAGTGAGCCAAGATCATACCATTGCACTCCAGCCCAGGTGACACAGCAAGACCCTCTCTCAAAAATAAATAAAATTGTGGCTGCAAAACAAGAGAGGAGGGAGCAGGGACTATAACCAGCCTAGGGCTTTTCTCTGGATCCTGCTGCCACCTCTTCTTAACTCCCATTCTGGAGCCCACCCATCTGCCTTACACCCACCAGCTCATGGCATCATCTTTCTCTATATCCCTTTCCCAGTGGCTTCCTCCCTATCCCAGTCCCCTGATGCAAATCCTGATGTCATCTGCCCCAGCCACCCATCTCTACCTCAACCCTCACTTCTCTGGTGAGAACTCTTGTGGATCCAGGGAGTGTCAAATCCCAGCCTGAACCAAACCTCAACTGAGATTATATTATCCTATAATATACCTTCTCCCCTCCCCTCCCCTCCCACCATTGGAATCACCCTCAGGAGAGCAGCTCCACTCTTCTCATCCAGAAGGGGCCCATGGCCCTAAGAAGGGCCATAGATTGCCATAGGTTGGCTTTTGGCATCCCCCAGCTCTCCTTCGACATCCCTGTGTGGCTCATCCCACCCTTACCCTGCTTCTTGTCCTCCCCACAGTCCTGTGGCCCAAGCTTTTCAAGTTGGTGAAAGAGACAGTTGTGATCTGACAAGGGCTAGACAGGTGCTTCACCCTCTGTCACCAAATACCCTCATTATCCAGCCCAAAACACCTCCATTCATTCCTTTCTATTCTGGCACATATTCGTTAATTCATTCCATCATTCACCTAACACCCTTGAAGCAGAGCCAATCACCTCTACCAACATCTTCCTAGAGACAAATAGATTAACTGGGGTGGGGTAAACTTTGAGAGCTCCAAAAGGAAAGCTCCAGAGGACGGGGGTTCTGCAGGGGTCCAGGCCTCTCAGGGACCACAGAGCAGACCTGCAGCAGAGGCAGAATTAGAGCCCATGGCTCTGGAGTCAACCAGGGCCAGGCAGAGGGCACCAGCTCTTGGCTGCTGAAAGTAGAGCTCTTCAAAAGTCATCCACTCAGTCAGCATCTACTGAGTGCCAGGCAGTGTCGTCACCTCTACAGCCGTCAGGGGAGAGAACAGCAGCCTAGAGAAAGGGAGTCTGAGCCCCCATCCCACGGGCTCGAAGCCCAGAGTAGAGGCCAGCACTAGTGCCTCTGGTGAGTATTACCATGGGAAGACCGCTGTTCCCAGCCCGGGTGCCCTGCTGGACTCTTGCTAGCCTGGCCCCAGCGAGGCAGGGCATCAGTTTCCCTCTCCAGAGGCCTTTCTTCCCCACCTATTGCCCTCTCAATCCTGTCCCTTCTTGCAGGAGCAACCTTCCCAGCAGAAAATTCCATTCTGCCCCAAGGACTCTCCTCCTTACTGCCCCTCACCCCGGGGAACGCAGGCTGCCCCTCTGATGCCTGCAGACTCCCTTCTCCCTCTTTCCTAACCGACCGTGGGCATTTTCCAATTTGGAGGTGAGGAGGAAAAACTAGGTTATTTTCAGCTCTTCCTTTACTGGCAACATTGACCCATTTATCCTTCTCTTCCTTCAGACCTCTCCCCCAAGGCCACTTAGCTTGGACATCTGTCCCAGCCAAAATCTCACCTTCCACTGTCCTTGCAGCCCAAAGGCTAGTCCAGCCTCTGAGTCCAGCTCTAGCCCTCTCTCCCCACACTAGGAAGGAAGCTGGACTGTAGAGCGCTCTGGGCCACCCCGCGTTAGCTGCTGCCTCTGGCCTCAGTTTCCCCAACTGCTCAGATTAATGATGCCTGCTCTCTAGACCCAGAGGACGAAGCTCTAAGGAGGTCACAGATGAGGAAGGGTCCAGTGCTCGGCGCAGACTCCGTGCGGAGCCCCTAGGCCCCGCAGCTCGCCCCTCCCTCTCCCCTACTCCCCTCCTCTCCCCCTCCCGTCTCTCCCCCGCCTCTTCGCTCTCGCTCGGCTCCCTCTCTAGCTGACCTTCCCTTTCCCTCACGCCTCCCCACGCCCGGCCCCTGGCCCCAGCACCCTGTCCGCTGCCGCCTCAGAGCCGGGAAAAGCAGCCGGAGCCCCCGCCGCCCCTGCCGCAGCGCGGGCGGTCAGCGCGCAGCCCGGCACCCGCAGCCTGCAGCCTGCAGCCCGCAGCCCGCAGCCCGGAGCCAGATCGCGGGCTCAGACCGAACCCGACTCGACCGCCGCCCCCAGCCAGGTGAGGGCAGCTGAGGGGAGGCAGGGAGCCGAGGTTCCCCCTTTACTGGAAGCGAGGGCTGGGGAGGCGCGGGGAAATTGGGTCCTTTTTCCTTGAAAGGAGGACCTGGGAGCCTTTTCGTGAAACAGGCACAAGGGCTTTCATTCCAAAGGGATGGATGGATGGAGGGAAGGTCTCGGGGGAGAGGGATTGGTTTTTGTTTTTTAAAAATAAGGATTAATTGGCTTCTGTGAAAGTGGGACTTCTTGGAAGGATGAGGGGCTTTCAAGGTAGGTTGGGGAGGGGGCTCTGGCAGGGCTTGAGGGAAGGGTTAACTGGTGAGTGGCAGGGCAAGGGGGAACTCTGCGATCCCCTCAGCCTGACATCGCTGCACCTCCCGCCTTGGCTCCGGGGCTCTGGGTCTCTCCAGCTCTGTGTCCCAGTTTTTCTCTTTGAAGATGACTATTTTGAACCCCACCTGGACAGAGCCAGGAACAGCCATTTCCTTCCCTGGAGCTATGACACCCACCTGACACACCCTCCCACACCTCTGACCTGCTCAGGGAAGGGGGTTCAGGGAAGGACGAGGATCCAGGGATCTGGGAATTGGGCAGTGTGGGTGAAACGGAGGCTGGGTACTGGGTGCACAGGAAGACCCTTGGCACTGGTGGGGTGCACCAGCCTTGGTCAGGAGGTTGCTGGGCAGCTGCTTCTGGGGCAGGACCCACTAGGAAAGCAGCGGTATGGAAAAGCTGAGCTGTTTTCCGTGTTCCCAGAAGACAAAACACTAGAGAATGTGTTTGCTTGCTTTTGTTTGGTTTTGCTTTCTGTCTTCCTCACCCTGGATCCCAAGACTCATTCCTCTGATCTCCTCTCCTAGTTTTGCAAAAAGGTAAACTGAGGCACAGAACAAATTGGCTGGACATACCTGTGTCTAGGAGGGAAGAGTGACAGGAAGGCATACGGAATTTGAGTCAAAAAACCTCAGTGCTCCATGGGTGACCTTGGGCCAAAATGCTTTCCCTTGTTGGGCCTCAGCTTTCTCATCTATAAAATGGGAGACGGCCCACCTGTCTTGTAGGTTTGCCAAGACCATGTGTCTAAAAGAACTTTGTAAAAGGGAATGCACTGGACACTTGTGAGGTGCCATCTTCACCACTGTGGATGGCCCCTTCCCTCCTCCCTGTCCTAACCAAGGGACACCTAACTAATCCATAGGACACCTTTGTGAGAATTACAAAAAGCACCTCCTCTGGAAGGAGACAGCATTCAGTTGGCTAGCAACTTGGGGTCTTTAGTATGAGAATGAGAAGGTGGCATACTTTACGCCAGGTGCTGCTCTAACATGTGGAGTGTGAGCTAGATTCTAGCTGGGACGTTCTGCACATCTACACCTGACAACCCTTCTCAGCAGGTCCCTGCTGTCTCTAAGAGACACAGAGCTACACATACAGGGCATTTTCTAAAGCAGCCCACATCCCAGGCTGTCTCCAGCTCATTTCTTTCCTGTTTTGTTTCCACATCAGGGCTTTTGGGTATTCAAGCCCCAAAGCACGTGCCCTACTAGGAAGCAGGATGGAATCCCTACATCAGAGAGTGACTCCTTTGAGTTAAGCAGTGCCTTCACCAAGCTCTCAGGGGTAGGAGTGACTGAGTCCCTAAACCCTTACGTCAAGAACTGGACCAGATCACTTTTGTCAGGGCAACCGACAGAAGCATCTGCACACCTCAGCACTGCCGTTGACAAACCATGTTCACACCTATCTCAGCACACCCCCACAGCAAGCCTGTGTGTGAGGTCTCTTCCCCATTTACATGGAGGAAGCCATGCCCAGAGAAGTTAGGGAACCTGCCCAAGGTTTCACAGTGTGAGTGGTAGAGCCAGGACCTGAACCCAGATCTGGCTATCTGTCCTCTCCAATCCATCACTCCCAAGGAACAAAGCTGCTGACTTCACAGCCTTGCCAAAGCCCTGCTGGAATTGTTGCTGTCCCTGTCCATCCCCAGTAGCCCCTGGCTCGCCACTCCTTCTTCTGAGTAACCAGCCTCCAAGCAAAGAGAAAGGAGTCACCTTCTCTTTTACTCTGATTTCAAGGGGGAGGAAGCTACCTCAAAGCCCAACTGTTCTCGCCTCCTCTGTGCAGGAAGGGCCCCTGGTGAGGCCAGGAAAGGGGTCAGGGAGCAGCGATTTCCTTTCCTGCTCAGATGGGGCTTAAACAGTAACGGTCATGCAGAGCGTTGACACAGAGAGCCAGTGCCTGCGTGAGTGGCAGACCAAGGACCATAAAATAACCACAGGAAAATGCAGCCAACTGGAGCTGAGGGGAACTCAGAGACTCCCCTGAATCCCCCGGGTTACCAGGGCCCCTGAGTGTCAAATGGGAGGTGTAGGGGCAAGCCCAGCAGACAGGGCTGTAGGCCTCTTTAACCAGAGTGTTTCTGCTAGTCTGTGTTCAAGCTTTCACTTAAGAAAGGGGTTTCGGCCGGGCGCGGTGGCTCACGCCTGTAATCCCAGCACTTTGGGAGGCCGAGGCAGGCGGATCACAAGGTCAAGAGATCAAGACCATCCTGGCCAACATGGTGAAACCCTGTCTCTACTAAAAATACAAAAATTAGCTGGGTGTGCTGGGTGCAAGCCTGTAGTCCCAGCTACTTGGGAGGCTGAGGCGGGAGAATCGCTTGAACCTGGGAGGTGGAGGCTGCAGTGAGCCGAGATCAAGCCACTGCACTCCAGCCTGGCGACACAGCCAGACTCCGTCTCAAAAAAAAAAGGGGGGGGGGCGGGGTTTCAAGGCCAGGCGCGATGGCTCACGCCTGTAATCCCAGCACTTTGGGAGGCTGAGGCAGGTGGATCACTTGAGGTCAGTTCAAGACCAGCCTGGCCAACATGGTGAAACCCCGTCTCTACTAAAGATACAAAAAATTAGCTGGGCGTGATGGTGCGCACCTGTAATGTCAGCTACTCAGGAGGCTAAGGCAGGAGAACTGCTTGAACCCGGGAGGTGGAGGTTGCAGTGAAACGAGATCGTGCCACTACACTCCAGCCTGGTTCACAGAGCGAGACTCCATCTCAAAACAAACAAACAAAACAAAGAAATGCAAATTATCAGGCCCATCACAGACCTACTGAATGAACTCTGGTGATGGGGCCCAACTATGTATGTTTGAACACGCCCTCCAAGTGACAGTGAGGCTCGCTAGAGTTTGAGAATCCAAGGATGTAGGAAAATTGAAACCTACTTGTGGGTCAAGGGCAGGGCTGGGAAGAGAACCCTTGTCTCCCGGTGGAGAGCCGGGCGTTTGGAAGCCGCCCCTGCCAACACTCCACTCTCGCCCCTCCGTCTCCCTCCCAGGCGCCATGCTGCCGCTTCTGCTGGGCCTGCTGGGCCCAGCGGCCTGCTGGGCCCTGGGCCCGACCCCCGGCCCGGGATCCTCTGAGCTGCGCTCGGCCTTCTCGGCGGCACGCACCACCCCCCTGGAGGGCACGTCGGAGATGGCGGTGACCTTCGACAAGGTGTACGTGAACATCGGGGGCGACTTCGATGTGGCCACCGGCCAGTTTCGCTGCCGCGTGCCCGGCGCCTACTTCTTCTCCTTCACGGCTGGCAAGGCCCCGCACAAGAGCCTGTCGGTGATGCTGGTGCGAAACCGCGACGAGGTGCAGGCGCTGGCCTTCGACGAGCAGCGGCGGCCAGGCGCGCGGCGCGCAGCCAGCCAGAGCGCCATGCTGCAGCTCGACTACGGCGACACAGTGTGGCTGCGGCTGCATGGCGCCCCGCAGTACGCGCTAGGCGCGCCCGGCGCCACCTTCAGCGGCTACCTAGTCTACGCCGACGCCGACGCTGACGCGCCTGCGCGCGGGCCGCCCGCGCCCCCCGAGCCGCGCTCGGCCTTCTCGGCGGCGCGCACGCGCAGCTTGGTGGGCTCGGACGCTGGCCCCGGGCCGCGGCACCAACCACTCGCCTTCGACACCGAGTTCGTCAACATTGGCGGCGACTTCGACGCGGCGGCCGGCGTGTTCCGCTGCCGTCTGCCCGGCGCCTACTTCTTCTCCTTCACGCTGGGCAAGCTGCCGCGTAAGACGCTGTCGGTTAAGCTGATGAAGAACCGCGACGAGGTGCAGGCCATGATTTACGACGACGGCGCGTCGCGGCGCCGCGAGATGCAGAGCCAGAGCGTGATGCTGGCCCTGCGGCGCGGCGACGCCGTCTGGCTGCTCAGCCACGACCACGACGGCTACGGCGCCTACAGCAACCACGGCAAGTACATCACCTTCTCCGGCTTCCTGGTGTACCCCGACCTCGCCCCCGCCGCCCCGCCGGGCCTCGGGGCCTCGGAGCTACTGTGAGCCCCGGGCCAGAGAAGAGCCCGGGAGGGCCAGGGGCGTGCATGCCAGGCCGGGCCGGAGGCTCGAAAGTCCCGCGCGAGCGCCACGGCCTCCGGGCGCGCCTGGACTCTGCCAATAAAGCGGAAAGCGGGCACGCGCAGCGCCCGGCAGCCCAGGCCCCTGCGCTGTCTTGACTGCGACGCATTCGCCGGCGGCAGGCGGGAAGGTGCTGACTACTGCGGGCCCGCAGGCCCGGGGAAGGGGTTGGAGGTTGGAAAGCAAGGTCCCCTTGGACCCTGGGAGGGTGAGGAGGTGGGAATTTGATGGAACCACATTCGCCTAGTCCGTTGGGGGCCTCCCTTTTATATCCCTACCTCGTCTAGCCCTCTGACTCATCATTGACCTACGACCTCAGCCTTAGCCCCCGGCTGATGCCTTTCTGTGACAAGGAACAGCACCCCATTACCCCACAGGGTGCATGGGATTCAAGGAAACAGTGCATTCCTTCTTCCAGCAGGGCGTGGGAATGAGATGAGGAGTTGATACCTGGTTGCCCTGACTCTTGCCTTCCCGGGATGGGGAGAGTGATTTGCCCAGAGCAGGGGTTAGACGCTTATTCCGACATAGAATGACACAGGCTCCAGGAGGCCGAAACAGAACATTTTATGAGAAGAGCAACACAGAATCAGGGCCACACCTGCTCCAGCCCACCTCCGCTTGTCTCTCCTTGGTCTCCCAGCCTTACTCCCCCCTCTGAGGTATTCACCCGACGCTTGTTGAGATATTGCCTCCCTACCCCAAAAGAGATAATGTTCCTCCCTCCCCCTGCTTCCCTCCACTCTTCCAACTGACAGAACTCAAAAAGTCGATTCTCCCAACCCAGATGGGAACTTGGAGGCTCAGAGACCCCAAATCCTTGGTTGTGCCTAAAAGGGGATGCTCAGCACCTAGAGGATTCCTGTGAATTCCACAGGACCTGTCACAGACTGCCAGGGTAGGAGTTGGAAGGTCTGACCAGGCCTTACTTGGGGCAGCTTCCCTTCAGCATCTCTTGAACACACTTCTCAACCCTGACCCCTGATCTCCACACACACACACACACACACACACACACACACACACTCACACACACACTGCCTGCAAGTCGTGCCCTTAGCTCTGTGCCCACTCCTTGCGCACTCCTTGCGACCCAGAGCCTGGGTTCTTAGCCTCTCAAGATCTAGGAAACAAGATCTGGTCGGGGTAAGCAGAGAGGGGGTGTCCAGGGTGCAAGCCAAGCCCAGAGATCTGAACACGGTGAAAAGAATCAGATGCCAGACAGAAGCCCCTGCGCAAGATGGGTCTGCCTGGGGGGTTGAGGAGGAGATGGGAGGGGGTAATGGCAGGTGAAAGAACAAAAGAGGAGGGTCAGGGGAAGGGGTCAAGGATGGAGGCCCAGGACCCCAGGGAAGGGGGCCGGTCCTGGGGGCAGAAACCTTTGCACAGGTCCCAGAGTGTTTCCTGTGCCAGGAGAGCGAAGACCTGGGCCCAGCGGCCCCGTTCCTCAGCCTCACTAGCTGCGTGGAGCCGGTAGACGCAGGACAGGCCTGTGAGGAGCAGATGTTCAAAGTCCCAAGTGCTAAGAGGAGGCCCCTTCCGCAGGTCCTGGAGCTGCTGCAGCCACTGCTCAGTGCCCTCCAAGTCACTGGGCACGTGGTGCTGCAGGAGGAGTCTGAGTCGGCGGCCTGGGTGTGTGGACGCTAGTTCCTCATCCTGGATGTGCAGCTGCCCCATGACATCCAGCTCCAGCCCAGCCCAGAGCAGCTGCAAGGGGAGCCATGTAAGGGGTGGGCTGTGGCCTGGGGAGCAGGGCAGGGAGCAAGAGTGGGCTGGGGGAAGGGGCAGAAGCAGGCAGCAGGACGCATGCTGGCTTGCCCCACCCAACCCTAGCAGGTCCACCCTGAGACATCCCCCTTCCCAACCCTGAGCTTAGGGACCTCTGGACGTGCCCACCCCCATGTCCCAGGCTGGGAGGAAAGACCTCAAACATCACTTCCGGGGCCTCTGGCTCCTGCAGGCCACCTCCCACGCTGGTGCTGTCCATGGGCTGCCCTGGGGCAGCAGAGAGGAGTCAGGCCCCTGCCATGCTACACCATGAACACCCCAGCCTCCCAGAAGTGCCCCTCTGCTGCCTGGTAGAGGTCCCGAGTGCTTCATCATTCTACAAAAGGGCAGGAATGCCATCCCATGCCCTCCTTTCCCCTCCCTCTCACGCACACACATGCACATTGACATTCACCCTCCCAGGCATAGGTCCTCTGATCTCAAAAGCATCATTCCAAGCCCAGTTACCATGTTGGCAAATGCCCAGGACACCTCCTTTAAATTGCACAATGCCCTTGTTAAAGAGCTCCAGGCCAACGGGTCACAAGACCCTTCCCCACCCTCCTCCCCTCCCTATAGTCATCTGAGGATAAAGTCACCTAAAACAGTGCCAGTGACTCTCCCAAGGACAAAGACCTCTTTGGAAAGAGCCTACTCTCCCTGCTCCTCCTCAGCAGTAAGGGAGGGAGGAGGAAGACAGGGCAGGGAGGACAGAGCAGGGGAGGATGTGAGGCAGGGAGGACGGGGCAGGGGAGGATGTGAGGCAGGGAGGACAGAGCAGGGGAGGATGTCTGTGGCAGCTCCGTCCGGCCCACACCTTGGGGTGTTGCCTCACCCTTGCAATGTTTGTTCCAAGCCCAGGCAGGTCAAGAGACCCTGCTTTGGGCATCAGTGGGAATGAGCCCAGGGCCAGCATTAAGAGCACCTAGGGCTATCTCCCTAGGTGTCACCTGTACCTTTCCAGTTCTGGGGGTGGGGCCCACACTGTCACCCACCACAGCACACATCAGCCTGGTACCCACCATGCCCACGCTTCTATGCCCGACTAGCCTCAAATAGAGCCAACTGTTAACTGCTGTCAGCCAGCAGCCTTGGCTCCTCTCCACCCACCCTGAAGCCTGGTACCTGCATGGGGCTGGGTTGTAGTCACACCAGAGAGGAGACAAATGGCTACCACCAGGCAAACCAGGAACTGCAGGGTCGCAGCCATGCTCAACCACGTCCTCTGAGTCTCACTCTGTTCAGCAGTTCTCTGCTCCCTCATCTGCCTGCCACACACCTCAGCTCCAACTTTCCACTGCGGGCTGCTCCAGAGCTCTGTAATGCGTGTCATTCTTCAGTGCTGAACAGGGAGGGGCTGGCTGTGGCCTCGGTCACCTCCCAGGGGCTCTTTCCATCCTTTAGAAATGGGGAATCTTTGGTTGTTGGCAGGAGCCTGGCTCCCTGCTTGTCAGGCCCTCAGCCTGTTCCTGCCCAGCTGGGCGGTATGCTTAGTTAATAGGAAAAAGGTGTTTGGTAGCAAATAGCTGTAGCTTGGCCCTCCCAAAGGGTAGGAAAGAGCTCAGGCAGTAAGACCATCTTACTGTCTGCGCCCTCAAAATATCCTGCGACTGAGGCCAGCCCCGACACCCAGTCTGGCCCAGCCCAGCCTCCAAGGAGCCCCTCAGCTGCCAAAAGCATCAGCTGCAAAGTCTTCCAACTGCATGGTGGGCTGGCTGGGCGGCCCCACAGACAGGCAGAGCCAAGCACTCCCCTCTCAGGCACTCTGCCGCAGGCTGGACAGACAGATCAGCTGGGCTAGGGCGTATTGTCCCCTGGCAGACAGACAAATCTGCAGCTCCTGAGTGGTTTTTGCCCCAGCCCTGGGACCTCTTGTTTCCTAGCAACATTCTTAATTCAGAGCGGGCACGGTGGCTCATGCCTGTAATCCCAGCACTTTAGGAGGGCAAGACAGGAGGATGGCTTGAGCCCAGGAGTTCAAGACCAGCCTGGGCAACATGGTGAGCCCTCATCTCTACAAATAAATTAGCTGGGTATGGTGGTACACACCTGTGGTCCTAGCTACTCAGGAGGCTGAGGTGGGAGGATCACCTGAGCCCAGGCAGTCTAGACTGCAGTGAACCACGATCACACTGCTGTACTCACTCTAGCCTAGGTGACAGACCAAGACCCTGTCTCAAAAAACCCCCACCAGCCTGGCGCGGTGGCTCACGCCTGTAATCCCAGCACTCTGGGAGGCCGAGGCGGGCAGATCACCTGAGGTCGGGAGTTTGAGACCAGCCTGACCAACATGGAGAAACCCCATCTCTACTAAAAATACAAAATTGGCCGGGCGTGGTGGCGCAAGCCTGTAATCCCAGCTACTCGGGAGGCTGAGGCAGAGTTGCTTGAACCCGGGAGGCGGCGGTCACAGTGAACCAAGATCATGCCATTGCACTCCAGCCTGTGCAACAATAGCAAAACTCCATCTCAAAAAAAAAAAAAAAAGAAGAAGAAAAAAAGAACCCCACCATTCTCAGCTCAGGCCAGAAACCAGGGAGATTCCTGTAGCCCAAGAGTGATTGGCTACCATGCCACACCCATCCTGAACCCTGTGGACTGTGAGAACTTTCAGTTACAGCTCCAGAATCCCTCTCAGAAATACATCCATGCCTGCAGGCCACCACGTCTGCAACTACACTCTTTAGTCCCATTAAAATAGACCTCCGGCTGAGTGTGGTGGCTCACGCCTATAATCCCAGCACTTTGGGAGGCCAGTGTGGATCATTTGAGGCCAGGAGTTCGAGACCAGCCTGGGCAACATGGTGAAATCCCATCTCTACAAAAACTATAAAAACTAGCTGGGCGTGGTGGCGTGCATCTGTAATCCCAGCTTCTTGGGAGGCTGAGGGGGGAGAACCGCTTGGGCCTGGGAGGTGGAGGTTGCAGCGAGCTGCGACAGCACCACTGCACTCCAGCCTGGGTGACAGAGCGAGACTCCATCTCAAAAAAACATAAAAGAGCTGGTCACAGTGGCTCACGCCTATAATTCCAGCACTTTGGGAGGCCGAAGCAGACAGATCACCTGAGGTCAGGAGTTCAAGAACAGCCTGACCAATATGGAGAAACCCCGTCTTTACTAAAAATACAAAATTAGCCAGGTGTGGTGGCACACACCTGTAATCCCAGCTACTCGGGAGGCTGAGGCAAGAGAATTACTTGAACCCAGGAGGCGGAGGTTGTGGTGAGCCGAGATCACGCCATTGTACTCCAGCCTCGGCAACAAGAGCGAAACACTGTCTCAAAAAAAAAAAAAAAAACCCATCAAAGACTCCCTGGTTTAGTAGTGCCTCTCTAAGAGAGCAGGGAAACACCCCTGCCTGCCTGTGTCCCCCCCAAAGCATCACTTCTCCACATTACAAGCACACACAAAGTGGTAAGTCTAAGTAGGAATTTATTTACACGGACACTCAATCATAGATAAGGCGCTGTCTAGGATCCACATGCGTTCCCTGGAGCTACTTGGCATCAGGCTTCTTGTCTCCGGCTTCAAGCTTGAGACTCTCCGGGGGTTGGCGATAGACTGGGAAAGCCTCCCAGGGGCTGTTCAGGTCAAATTTGCGGAACTCTTGGGCCAACTCCACCGGCTCTGCCACCACCCGCTTCACTTCATCATCATAACGTAACTGCAGGAGCAAAAGGCAGGCTTGAGCACTAAGGAAGTCCTTATTATAGCTACACAGGAGCCTACTTTTCACAAGGCTATTGGTGACTTCCCCAGCCCATTCCTCTCGGTTACTGACTCCTGTCCCAGCCTCTGTCAGTAAGTCTCCATCCATACCTGTGTTACCCGTCAGATCACATCCCAACCAGCTAGAGTGTGTGATTCCAAAATGTAGGATACCTCTCATGCCCTGCCAGCACCAGTCAGATTCCCCTGCTCACCACTCCCACATCAGGAGCTCCGAACTGACTGCTCACCCACCCACACACTCTTACAAGGTAATGGTAAGCATTTGCCCAGGATTAGGGAGTAGTCGGTGGCTGAAAAGAGTAAACCTAAACTGGCAGATACACAACCTCAGGCCCGGTGCCCTTGGCATATTCACAGTCCAGATCTAAAGCAGTACATTTGACACAGCTTTTCTTGTTACTTGGGGATCAAATGGATAAGGTAAGGATCATCAGGTGCTAGAGTGAAGAGGCAAACCAGGTGAGGCAGATAGCAGGAGTGGGGTGAAAGGGAGAAGCGAGGGAGATAGCCCTGCCCAGAAGTAGCCCAAGAGGGAAATAGGAGCATGCAAAGCACTAACACAGCAGGAGTGACTGGGAACTAAAAGAGCAGGGCTGGAGCACCACATCTCTGCATTTCTAAACAGTTACTTTGCTATAAAATTCACGAGTGATAATATTACACACTATCTTCCTGCAAATAACCTGCAGCACCACTGAAATTCTTTATTCACGTTACTGGTCCCACCTCAGAGGTAATTTTTGAGGGCTAAGCATCTGGTGTCTTCCCCGTCACTGCCTTCCCAGAGAGTCAGGGCAGGGTAAAATAATCCTCTACTTTCAGGTTTTAGGGACAGACTGTGTCGTCAAGGCTGCCTTGATCATTAAAATGATCATTACAATAATGGATAACACTGGCCAGGTGTGGTGGCTCACACCTGTAATCCCAGCACTTTTGAGAAGCTGAGGCGGGCAGATGACTTGAGCCCAGGAATTCGAGACCAGTTTGGGCAACATGGAGAAACCCCGTCTCTACAAAAAATACAAAAATTTGCTGGGCATGTTGGTGCATGCCTGTAGTCCCAGCTACTCGGAGGGCTGAGAGGTGGGAGGATTACTTGAGCCTGGGCGGTCAAGACTGCAGTGAGCCATGATCGCACCACTGCACTCCATCCTAGGTGACAAGAGTGAGACCCTGACACACACACACACACACAGCATCAATTGAGCCTTTACAATACAGCAGGCTTCATACATCATTTATTTATTTAGAGACAGGGTCTCACTCTGTTGCCCAGGCTGGAGAGCAGTGGCGTGATCTCGGCTCACTGCAACCTCCGCCTTCTAGGCTCAAGCGATCCTCCCACCTCAGCCTCTTGAGCAGCCAGGACCACAGGAATGCACCACCATGCCCCGTTAATTTTTCTATTTTTTTGTAGAGAAGAGGTTTCACCATGTTGCCTAGGCTGTTCTCGAACTCCTGGACTCAAGCACTCCTCCTGTCTTGGCTTCCCAAAGTGCTGGGATTACAGGCGTGAGCCTACACATACATTATTTAATGCCAGCCACAAATCTATTAAAGTGCTATTATTATTGCCATTTTAAGATGAGAAAACTGAGTTACAGTCAAACCAAGTAACTTGCCCCAGGTTACAAAAATGAAGCTAGGATCTGAATCCAGGGCCCATGCTCTTAAACCACCACAATCCACAGACCGTATTTCTTGCCATTCCCAGGGATCCCCTGGGTTCTCTGCAAGTCCCTCCCTGAGGCTGCTGTCCCAGTTCCAAGGCTCCTACCTCAACATAGCCAGATAGAGGAAAGTCTTTCCGGAAAGGATGTCCCTCGAAGCCATAATCTGTCAGGATCCTTCTTAGATCAGGGTGGTTAGCAAAGAAGACTCCAAACATGTCCCAGATCTAGGAAAGAGACCACCTCAAACAGCCAATCCATCAAGACTAACAACAGGGGGAAGGGGCTACACTGCATCCCGTAGTCTGAACCAGTTCTGCAACTGTGGCCCAGAGGCAGGTCCACCATATCCGGTAACTCACCTCCCTTTCATACCAGTTGGCTGCCTTGAACACAGAGACAGCAGACTCAATGGGCGTCAGCTCATCTGTGTAGGTCTTCACACGGATCCGTGAGTTGAAGCGCAGAGACAACAGGTTGTAGACAATCTAGGGAGAACAGAAGGATCTGGAGGGCTGAGATGGGAGTCCCTGATTGGGAGAGTTCTGCCCTGTGACCCTGCCTTCTATTCTGAACCTCAAAACCTCAAGATTCTCCTATGCTTACAACTACTTCCAAAGGCCCAGGCCACAGCTGTAGCTTAGCATGTCAGCATGCCTGTGTTTGCTCATGCTATTCACTTTGTCAGGAATATTTCCCTGGTCCATCTCACAAGGCTACCTGGTCTCCTACTCATATTTTAGATTCAGCACAAACATTCTCTCTTTTCAAAGAAGCCTCCCAGACAGGGCCAAGTGCCCCTCCTGCTTTCTTAAAGCATCCCTCTAATATCCTTTGTATTATATGTTACTACAGTAAGCTGTTTAGGTGTCTTTCTCCTTCACTAGAGTGTAGGGGACTCCTGGAGGACAAATACTTCATGTTATTTCTCTCTCCATCCCAGAGTCTGGCAAACAGTAGATAATCAGTAAAATATTAATAGCTAAATGTATTGAAAACACTGTGTGCAAGCAATTTACTTGAACTATCTCATTGGATCCTTATAACCATTCTATAAGATAAGGACAGCTTTATATTTATTTTCCCGGTAAGAAAATGAAAGCTCAGAAAGATTAAACAAGGGCCGGGCATGGTGGCTCATGCCTGTAATCCCAGCACTTTGGGAGGCCAAGGCAGGCAGATCACGAGGTCAGGAAATTGAGACCATCCTGGCCAACATGGTGAAACCCAGTCTTCACTAAAAAAATACAAAAAATTAGCCGGGCGTGGTGGCATGCACCTGTAGTCCCAGCTACTCAAGGGGCTGAGGCAGGGGAATCGCTTGAACCTGGGAGACGGAGGTTGCAGTGAGCCAAGATCATGCCACTGCACTCCAGCCTGGCGACAGAGCAAGATTCCGTCTAAAAAAAAAAAAAATTAAACAAAATATTTGAGTTATCTGAGGTCCCACAGCCATTTAGTGGCAGAACCAAGATCCAACTTCAGATCTACTTGACTCTGAAGTTCCAGTTTAACTGCTGTGTTCTATTGTATGTTACAAACTGAAATTAATATCCTTACCCCCAAAACCTTCTCAGATCTCCCAACTGACCTCAAAACGGTTTTGCCGAGTTGGGACGTCCACTGCTGTCAAGTCAACCAGAGATTTGAACTGTGCATTGGTGTGATCCCTGAGGAAAGTCAGCACTGGGATGACGCCATCAGGATGGATACAGACCTCTAACTCATTGAAGCAGGACACCTGCACACATGAAAGTGAGGGGAGAGGGAACAAAGAGCTACTGAGGGAACAGCTAACTTCAGCTGGAGTCACCTGGTTTAATGCTGAGAGAAAAGTCCAAGCTTGGGATGGAGGAATCTGTAGTTTCTTTGAAACAAGTCTGCCCACTCCCACATGCCCTGCGAACATGGTTCTTTCTTGACCCAGACCCAAATAACATTAGTAAGTATTACCTGAACTTGTTGGACATACTTGGGCAAGATTTCAGCCACATACTCTCCAAAAGCTGAGAGCTGCTTGTGGGCCACATCATTCCGTGGTCTGACAGTGGCTGGAAGGAAAAGGCATATTTAAAAAAGAAATGGAGAAGGCAAAAGCCAGCCCTGCATGCAGTCTCTTAGGCTTGTAAGGGATGTCAAATCCAGGAAAGGCTCCCTGAAGCACCTTGAGAAAGGTGCATGTGAAAGGTTTCCCTTCTAGGGAATACAGTGATGAAAACTTGGGGAAAGTGCCACCTTAACTACACGGTCCTCAGAAAGACTCTTACTATAGCAGCTGGGGTGTTCACCTCTTCTCAAAATTACTCCACAGTTCTTCCCTCACATTGCCTGCATTTCTGCTAAAGCAGTAGTCTCAGTTCTCCTGTCAGACTAAGAGCTGTTTGAGGATGGGAACTGAACTTTTGCCTCTCTGTAGCTCCTTAGCACGCAAGTTTATACCAGGTTCTCAAGCTAAGAACTTCAGGGCTTGAAGATCCCTCACAGACTCTCTCTCTCCTTAAAAGTGTGTGTGTGTGTGTGTGTCAATGAGAAAACTGAGGCCCAGGTGTGTGTGTGTGTGTGTGTGTGTGTGTGTGTGTGTGTGTGTGTGTCAATGAGAAAACCCAGGAAAGGAGAAATGCCAGGTCTCCTAACTCCCAGTCCGTGTATCTTGACTGTAACATAATATGTACATACTCATTCATGCAACCCTAAACCACTGAGCAATCACACATCACAAGCTACAGAATAATGGTTAGGTGTTTCTGCCTCTGGCAGCAGGCAGGCCTACTTTGTCATTCACTAGGTCTTTGACCCTGGGCAGTTTAATTCTTTGGACTGTTTCCTGATCTATAGTAAGAAGAGTAAGATGCTATCTACCCCATAAGGCTGTTGTGAGGACGAAATAAGATCATTCACTAAAACGCTTAGCGAGGTTCCAGGCACACATTAAGCACTCAATTAACGCTAGGTACTATTATTACAGGGCTCTGAGGCCTAAAGGTTATATTGCTTGCTTTCAAAGAGCTGACAGTTTAATCAGACAAAAAGGGGATGATTGAAATGGACAAGGAACAATCAGGGCCATAACAGGCCTAAGGGCACAGGGAGGGCTCGATTCTGCATGCAGGGTGAAGACCACTGCAAGTCAGATCTCCAAGATTTGCCAGGAGGACGTAGGGAAGGGCATCCTAGGGCAAGGACAGGCATCTAAGGGGCCCCGCCGATAGTTCAGAGAAGAGCGCTGCCCGCACATACTCACGGCGCGTGTCGGCCCCGGCGCTCTCCCGCCTCACCGGCAGCAACAGAACGGAGGGTCGCCCAGTCCCTGCACAGGGAGATAAAAGGCACAGACGCGCGGGATGAGCCCTGAGGAGCTCTCTGCACTGGGCACGCCGCTGCGCCTGACCCCGGTCTCAGCTGGCTGCCCGTGCTCACCCCTGGTCAGCGCCGAGGCCCCCAAGATCCCGCGCCACCACAGCCTGGCTACCGCCGCCGCCGCCATGTTACTCAGATGCAGACTAGGCAGCGGACGGAAAGACAGCAGGACACGGAGCCCCAAGGGCACGGACCGGAAACGGAAGTGTGCAGCAGATCTTCTTCCGGGCGGACGTGGAGCCGGAAGCGGAGGTTCCGGGCTCCGGGATGAAAGGAGGGAACGCAGGTGAGAAAGCGAGACAGGCAGGTAGGGAAATCGTGAGGTGAGCGTGGTCCTAGCTCCTTGTGGCAGAGCCTAGAGAGAAGGCGAGGACGCTGAAGAACCAGGCGGGTGAGAGGAGGGGAGGGGGCGGGCGTTTTGGGTTCTACGCTACACACCCCTCCCCCGCTCTCTGAGCCAAGCTTTTGACGAGGGCGGGCGGGCCTGAGCGGGAAGAACGGTTTCCCTGGCGACCGTTTCCAAGACGACTCAAGGTGGAGCGGGGACATTGCACAGGGTGATGGGCCTCCCAGTGCCCCGGCCTGGGGGCGGATGGACTCAAGTTCTGGGACGCAGCCATAGGGAGTCTTTCGAGCGAGCGGGGAAGTGTGGGGGAAGCAGCTCAGAAGAGAGCAAATGTAAGACCCACGGATATCCCAGGCTAGGCTTCATATGGAGCGTCTTAACTCCATGCGCTGGGAAGGAGAGGACCTGGCCACTAGGCCGGGGCCAGGGGTCCTTTTTGTCTGATTCTACTGCCCCTGAGCTTCACTAGTTTTATGCCCCAGTTATTTGGTTAGTAAGGCTTTTACGATCACAGGCCTCTCCCAGCCCTTTGCTTTCATATATTGACCTAAATCCCAAGTCTTTTGTTAACATTATGGAAAGGAATTATTCCGTGTTTTCTCAGGAAAACACCCAGAGTTGGAACTTTTATTTATATCATTAGCGGAGGGGCGCCACTGGGGATAACGAACCCAGATTTGGTTAAAGGATAGCGTCAGGGACATCATGGACAGGGCCAGGACTAAGGCCAATCTGGACCCACTTTGCTCTCACTTCTTCCTTTTCCCTCCCTGAGTTGGACAGTTGGATTCACAGACTATGGCTGTGAATTCCTCAGGTTACTCAAGATGGTGTTGCTTTGCAGACAGCTGGCAGAGAGAGAAGTTGGCTAGCATGGAATCACCAGAGGAGCCTGGAGCATCCATGGATGAGAACTACTTTGTGAACTACACTTTCAAAGATCGGTCACATTCAGGCCGTGTGGCTCAAGGCATCATGAAACTGTGTCTAGAGGAGGAGCTCTTTGCTGATGTCACCATTTCGGTGGAAGGCCGGGAGTTTCAGCTCCATCGGCTGGTCCTCTCAGCTCAGAGCTGCTTCTTCCGATCCATGTTCACTTCCAACCTGAAGGAGGCCCACAACCGGGTGATTGTGCTGCAGGATGTCAGCGAGTCTGTTTTCCAGCTCCTGGTTGATTATATCTACCATGGGACTGTGAAACTTCGAGCTGAGGAGTTGCAGGAAATTTATGAGGTGTCAGACATGTATCAGCTGACATCTCTCTTTGAGGAATGCTCTCGGTTTTTGGCCCGCACAGTGCAAGTGGGAAACTGCCTTCAGGTGATGTGGCTGGCAGATCGGCACAGTGATCCTGAGCTCTATACGGCTGCCAAGCACTGTGCCAAGACCCACCTGGCCCAGCTGCAGAATACAGAGGAATTTCTCCACTTGCCCCACCGCTTACTCACAGATATCATCTCGGGTAAGTTTAGGGAGGGGACACACCATACCCAGTTACTTGGCTATGATGTTCAGTGAATGTTCTAGTTTAGGAGAAAAGAACCCTCAAGCTTCCTGGTGTTAGTTTACATTATTATTCCTGCATTCTTACTGAGATAACCTGCTGAGAAAGATTGAGGTGAGATTCAGTGTAATTGCTGTCAGAGACACAGTGCGTTAGAGGAAGAAGTCAGGAAAATTAAAGCACAACATTTAACCACACAGAGTAGTGAGGAGTGATTTGTATTATACTCTAATTTATCCTGTACTTCGTATGTCCCAGTGGGTCTAATTACCTATGTAAATTGGTGATGGGGCAAGATATCTAAGACTAAAAACTTTTTTAGTGATGGGCCAACGTTAGGAAACAATCCTAACCTTGCAAGTGAGATATAGCCATACTTAAGGTGTGAGGTTGGCCAGGCATGGTGGCTCACACCTGTAATCCCAACACTTTGGGAGGCCGAGGTGGGTGGATCACCTGAGGTCAGGAGTTCAAGACCACCCTGGCCAACATGGCGAAATCCCGTCTCCACAAAAAATACAAAAATTAGCTGGGCATGGTGGCTTGCACCTGTAGTCTCAGCTACTTGGGAAGGCTGAGGCAGGAGAATCACTTGAACCCGGAGGCAGAGGTTGCAGTGAGCCAAGATCACGCCACCGCACTCCAGCCTGGGCGACAGAGCAAGATTCCATCTCAAAAAAAAAAAAAAAAATGGTGTGAGCTCTGTAGCTTAGTAGGTTGCTTCCATGGCAGATGGGAAAATATCGAGTCATCCATTTTGATTTTAAAAAAGCAAGGCACATACTCTGGTTTCTCTTCAGATTGTATAAATCTTTTACCTTTTACTAAAGATTTCCATGGAGAGGAACGGTTATGAGTCTTTACCCAACTTTTTGAGGGCTCATGTAACACATGAGACTATCTTTAAAAAAGAGCAAGGTACGGGCCAGGCGCAGTGGCTCACGCCTGTAATCCCAGCACTTTGGGAGGCCGAGGCGGGCAGATCACGAGGTCAGATCAAGGCCATCCTGGCTAACATGGTGAAAGTACAAAAAATTACCTGGGCATGGTGGCAGGCGCCTGTAGACCCAGCTACTCGGGAGGCTGAGGCAGGAGAATGGCGTGAACCCGGGAGGTGGAGCTTGCAGTGAGCCGAGATCACGCCACTGCACTCCAGCCTGGGCAACAGTGCAAGACTCCATCTCAAAAAAAAAAAAAAAAAAAAAAAAAAGCAAGACCCGCCAGGCATGGTGGCTCATGCCTGTAATCCCAGCACTTTG
The DNA here is from genome assembly GCF_000001405.40 of Homo sapiens. NCBI lineage: Eukaryota > Metazoa > Chordata > Mammalia > Primates > Hominidae > Homo > Homo sapiens. The sequence continues at coordinate 3,935 of NW_019805496.1, read as the reverse complement.
GGAGGCCAAGGAGGGAGGATCCCTTGATGGCAGGAGTTTGAGACCAGCCTGGACAACAGTGAGACCTTGTCTATACAGAAAATAAGAAAATTAGCCAGGCGTGGTGGTGCACACCTGTAGTCCCAGCTACTTGGGAGGCTGAAACAGGATTGCTTGAGCCCAGGAGGTTGAGGCTATGGTGATGGTGATTGCGCCATTGCACTTCTGCCTGAGCGACAGGGTGAGACCCTGCCTCAAAAAAAAAAAAAAAGCAATTTTAGGTTAATTTCATGTATATGTGTATGTATGCATGTACACATATACACATGCCCAGCAGTAGTCTAATAAAGTGGTTCACATCTTTAAAGTCCCTTACTCTGAATTTCTCTTTCGGATTGTCATTGACCATGCCTTTCCTCTGGCTCTCACAGATGGAGTTCCGTGTTCTCAGAACCCAACAGAGGCAATAGAAGCCTGGATCAACTTTAATAAAGAGGAAAGAGAGGCTTTTGCAGAGTCACTCAGGACAAGCTTGAAGGTAAGGCAAATCTCTTAATTGTTGAGACTGCATACTCTCCATGCATTCTTGCCATCAGTTAATTTGGCCTCTTTTTTTTTTTTTTTGAGATGGAGTCTTGCTCTGTCGTCCAGGCTGGAGTGCAGTGGCGCAATCTCGGCTCACTGCAAGCTCCGCCTCCCGGGTTCACACCATTCTCCTGCCTCAGCCTCCCTAGTAGCTGGGACTACAGGTGCCCACCACCACGCCCGGCTAATTTTTGTATTTTTAGTAGAGACAGGGTTTCATCGTGTTAGCCAGGATGCTCTCGATCTCCTGACCTCGTGATCCGCCCGCCTCCGCCTCCCAAAGTGCTGGGATTACAGGCATGAGCCCCCGCGCCCGGCCTTTTTTTTTTTTTTTTTAAGACGGATTCTCACTTTGTTGCCCAGGCTGGAATGCAGTGGTGCAATCTCAGCTCGCTGCAACCTCCACTTCCCAGTTTCAGGCTATTTTCCTGCCTTAGCCTCCCAAGTAGGTGGGATTACAGGTGCTGCCACCACGCCTAATTTTTGTATTTTTAGTAGAGATGGGGTTTCACCATGTTGGCCAGGCTGGTCTGGAACTCCTGATCTCAGATAGTCTGCCTGCCTCTGCCTCCCAAAATGCTGGGATTACAGGTGTGAGCCACTGTGCCTGGCCTAACCTGGCCTCTTTGTGTGTCTGTGTGTGAGAGAGAGAGATGGGAGTTTCGCTCTTGTTGCCCAGGCTAGAGAGAGAGAGATGGAGTTTCGCTCTTGTTGCCCAGGCTAGAGTGCGATGGTGCGATCTCGGCTCACTGCAACCTCTACCTCCTGGGTTCAAGCGATTTTTCTGCCTCAGCCTCCCGAGTAGCTGAGATTTCAGGCGCCCACGACCACGCCCAGATAATTGTTGTATTTTTAGTAGAGATGGGTTTCACCATGTTGGCCAAACTGGTCTCGAACTCCTGACCTCAGGTGATCCACCCACCTTGGCCTCCCAGAGTCTTGGGATTACAGGCATGAGCCAATGCGCCTGGCCTAACCTGGCCTCTTTTTGATGGCCAGATTATGAATGGTCGTCTCTGTTTTTTGTTTTGTTTTGTTTGTTTGTTTTTGAGACAGAGTCTTACTCCGTCTCCCAGGCTGGAGTGCAATGGCATGATCTCAGCTCACTGCAACCTCCGCCTCTCAAATTCAAGCAATTCTTCTGTCTCAGCCTCCCGAGTAGCTGGGACTACAGGTGCATACCACCACGCCCGGCTAATTTTTGTATTTTTAGTAGAGACAGGGTTTCACCATATTGGTCAGGCTGGTCTCGAACTCTTGAGCTTAGGTGATCTGCCCACCTCGGCCTCCCAAAGTGCTGAGATGACAGGTGTGAGCCACTGTGCCCGGCCATCTCTTGTTTTTTTAATTTTTTGTATTTATTTATTTATTTTTGAATAAGTTATCTCTGGCTTGAAGTTGATATGAGCTGGGGAGAAGGATGTCTTTGTAACCCCAGTACCACCAATCTATGAGCTTTCAAAGTTCCTTGAGAACTACTGTCATCAAGTTAACAATCTTAATCACCCTTTGTCTGAAGCACTAGCTTATGAGAGTTTTTTAAAAGCTACAAGGATGAATACAACAGATTCTCCGCCCGGCATAAATTGCCTCAAAGAAAGTGACTAGAGGAGAGTTGGATGCCATACAGTAATTAGAGAGTAGTATGATAAAGCTAGGAACAAGTGTGAGGGCCAGGATCTTAAGGATATGTGTCTTAGCTGAGCCTTAGCCTAGAATTTAACAGCTGTCATATAATTTTAATTTTGCCAATAGGAAATTGGGGAGAATGTGCACATTTACCTGATTGGGAAAGAGTCATCTCGTACCCACTCGTTGGCTGTGTCCTTGCACTGTGCAGAAGATGACTCCATCAGTGTAAGTGGCCAAAACAGTTTGTGCCACCAGATCACTGCGGCCTGCAAGCATGGTGGAGACTTGTATGTGGTGGGAGGGTCCATCCCACGGCGCATGTGGAAGTGCAACAATGCCACCGTTGACTGGGAGTGGTGTGCTCCTTTGCCTCGGGACCGGCTCCAGCACACCCTGGTGTCTGTGCCCGGGAAAGATGCCATATATTCACTGGGTGGCAAGACACTGCAAGATACCCTCTCCAACGCAGTCATTTATTATCGCGTAGGTGATAATGTGTGGACAGAGACAACTCAGCTAGAGGTGGCTGTGTCAGGGGCTGCTGGTGCCAACCTCAACGGGATCATCTACTTACTAGGGGGGGAGGAGAATGATCTGGACTTCTTTACCAAACCTTCCCGACTCATCCAGTGCTTTGACACAGAGACAGACAAATGCCATGTGAAGCCCTATGTGCTGCCCTTTGCAGGCCGCATGCACGCAGCTGTGCATAAAGATCTGGTGTTCATCGTGGCTGAAGGGGACTCCCTGGTGTGCTACAATCCCTTGCTAGACAGCTTCACCCGGCTTTGCCTTCCTGAGGCCTGGAGCTCTGCCCCATCCCTCTGGAAGATTGCCAGCTGTAACGGGAGCATCTATGTCTTCCGGGACCGATATAAAAAGGGGGATGCCAACACCTACAAGCTTGACCCTGCCACTTCAGCCGTAACTGTCACAAGAGGTATTAAGGTGCTGCTTACCAATTTGCAGTTTGTGTTGGCCTAAGGCTGTGGGGAGGGGAGGAGAACTGCTCACTCCTTTTCCCTCCCCATACAAACTCAAAGTCCCCTGGGCCCCAATTCAGAGTTATGTTTTTTTTGGCACATACTAGAAAGGCAGTGCCTCAGCCCTTCCCTGAATCCATGGAGGTGTTCTGTTTGGGGCTTTTTAGACTGCTGCTGCTCAGCTGGTTGCTTGAACTGACAGTAGGCCAGCCTGTTCTCTGCCATTCCCTAGTCATCCTGTGCCTCACCACAGCTTGCTTAGAGCAAGCCTTTTCTCAGACCTTAGGCACAGCCTCTCCTCTTTACCTGATCAATGTTAAATGTAAGCACCCCTGATCCCAGGACATAAGGAAAGATGCCCAATTGTACTTTTGTTCTATAGCCTGTGAAATGGCTAGTTGATCATTTTTCCACAAAGAATTAGGTGTTAAGAGTTTTCCTTCAGGCTTTACTTAGGAGAATGGACTAAGCTGAAGGTGTACTTCACCAGCAAGAGTCAACTCTAGAATTCAGGATGTTCCTTCTATTGTTTTCTTATCCATCTGTCAGGAAATGTAACTTTGGTTTTATTTTTGGCTTATTCCAAGGGGTAAGCCAGAAAATAGAAATGATTATTTCTGATTAATAGCAGAAACTTTTTCAATCTCAAATATATAAGGTGTCTGCTCTTTTAAAAGCTCTAAGCTAAGTCAAGAGCTAGGAACTGTTGATACAAATAAAAGTTTTTGAAGGGATATGTGTGTCTGTGTTGAATTC